>NW_003871073.1:0-200998 GCF_000001405.40 Homo sapiens | reverse complement strand
TTTGCCTCCCAATTCAAAGGGCTTTATGATTAGACCCAAGGTCATTTATCTTGTAGTAAGACATAGATTTTCCATAATCATCTTCAAAGCATCTTTGACTTCGTGGTTCCTCAGGCTATATATTGAAGGAATTTTCACAATACAGAAAACAGAAGCTATTTTGTCTGTATCCAGAGAATTATTTGTTTTTCACTGCATATACATGAAGGTAATTATACCATAAAATATGATGATAGAAGTCAGGTGGGAGTCACAAGTAGAAAATGCCTTTTGTCTACTTTCAGCTGAATTAATTCTCAGAATGGCAGACAGTACTGATATGTAGGAGATGAGGATGATAAGAAGGGAGAAAAGTGTATTGAAACCAGCAAGTGTGAACAATATCAGTTCTTTTACATCTTTGTAATGGTTTTTATGATAGGGTAGACATGCTAGGGGAACATCATCACAATAGGAATTATTTATTATATTTGAATCTCAGAAAGACAAGTGGAATGTAAGAATTGCCTGTAGGAGTCTCACAGAAAAGCCATACAAATATGTACTTACCACCATTTGAATACAGACCCTTCTGTTCATGATGATACTATAGAGTAAAGGGTTGCAGATGGCCACATACCTGTCATATGCCATGGCTGAGAGCACATACATGTCACAAACCACAAACATGATAAAGCAATGCAACTGAGAGGCACAAGTAGGTAAGGATATTCTTTTAGTTTCTTGGAGGAGGTTCACTAGGCTGTTAGGGGTGATAGAGGAGGTGTAGCAAAAATAAACAAAAGCTACGTGGCTGAGAAAAAAATACATAGCTGTGTGAAGCTGAGGACTGATATGAATTAGCATAATTAACCCAAGGCTACCCATGACACTACTTAAATTGATCACTAGAAAGATCCCCCTAAAAAAGGGCTTGGAGCTCTGGATTGTCTGTGAGTCCCAAGAGGATGAATTCAGTAACTTCTGAATTATTGGTTTTGGCCATGAAATATGTGTAGAAGTATTTCATACCATTATCTTCAAAACATTCATCCTGGATAATCTTCCATTTCTTGGATTAAAGACTTGACTCACACTTATTTGATGGTGATCATACTAGAAAGATAACTCTCTCTTGTCCTATACATCATTCTCCCTGCTTATTATCAGAAGGGATTTGCTCCAGTCAGATATTCCAACATGCTTAGTAGTCTGGAAGATTGTTAAAGAAGATAGAATATCTTGAATTAAAATGTGGAATGTTATATATACAATAAAAACCCTGTATCATAGGAAAAGCAGGATAAATACTTCAATGATAAAAGAAATGCTAACATATTTTAGAATACTACATTAAGGCAAAATACTCGATATTTCTACTCAACTTAGAATCAAGACAACCATGGCTTTGACTAAACATTATGCAGTATCCTAGCCCATGCAACAAAAACAGTGGTAAAAATATCATTATTTTTAAAGTATGTATTATACTATATTGGTATATATTCTAAAGTATATATTACAGCTTATTGGTACTTGAACCAATAAGCTCAGTGGAAAAATATTATTAGATTTGTTATGATTGTTGTGAAGCATTCAGTTACCAAGCTACATAATGAAAATGATACCATAATAAAAATGTAGCTTCAAGTAAAAGTGAAAATATAGTTTTCAAGATTCCATTTAAAATAATGAGGAAAAAGTAAAACCCAAATTTTAATTTACTATTAAACTTGGCAAAATATTGGCTTTATATATTCATACATATATAAGTTAAGCATATATAACAATATGCTTCAGAAGTTAAGCATATTGTTTATGCTTAACTTAAATAAATTTATAGATTCACATTATTTTGTAGTGGGGTGGCATTTGGGGAAGAAAAAAATTATTTACAGGTTAATTCAAATTCATAATGCATGAAAGATAAACTGAAATTGATTTATTAAACTTTCAAGATAAACAAGATATTTCTTAAAGTAATTAAAGGTTACTTATTCTTACAAAAAGTAAAATATAAACTGTAGGATGCAAAGCAGGGTGGAGATCAATGGCATTCCAGTGGATGTTTATCAACTGGCTTTCAAATTTAAAAGAAAAAGGAAGATTTAATTTGTAACATCTGTTGATTTTGTGATTTCCATGCTGTAAATACTCCCATCTTAGCTGATTTTAAGCTACTGACCTACAGTCATGAACATGAGTTCAAAAGAGATTTGCAGATATAGTTCTTGGACGCTAGTATGGGCTGCCTCCAGCACAGCACTGGTGGTAGTTATATAAACATAGGTTAATATTATAAATAAAATAATACAAAAATTAGTAAATGACAAATATTTTATGATTACGCAATATGCTAAAAGCAGAACACAAAATCAATGATGAATCTCTAGCTGCTTTCCATGTAATATATTTGTTAATTACAAAGGGAAATAATCAATTTTATTAAATATCAAAGGACTAGATAACATAAGATTGATCAAATTAAAAGGATGAAAATATCCATGTTGGTAAAGGTGTGGGAAATGGATATATCCTCATGAACATCCTGTAAAGATGTAATTTATCCTCAATTTTCTAGAAGGTAGCTTAACAGTAAGCATCAAAATTGTTTAAAATATTTCTGCCACTTGATGCAATGATTTCAATGCTAAGTCCATAAGAAAATAATAAAAATATGCAAGTACATATATTGTTTAATTTCAGTTACCGTAAGATGGAATTTGTCTAAATACGTTCTAACAGATATTTAGTAACTGTAAATTCTTCATAAAATACTAAATGACCCTTTAAAAGTTGATATAGGTTTTCATTTATTGACATGAAAAGAAGGATTACATATATAAATATATACAGGTGATATTGCATGTATGTATACATATATATGTGCACAGAAATACTCAAATAAAATATGACAAAATGTTAACAGTAGTTATACCTATGTGGTGATATTGAGATTGATCTTTCCTTTTTCTTTCCATTTCTTTCTTCCTTCCTGCCTTCCCATTCAATTTTAATGGTTCTTTACATTTTATGCTATCCTCTGTTTTCATAAACTTGACTTTAATTTTATATGCATATTTCCATGTTTCAATACCTTAGATGCTTATGCACTTTGACAACTTAATTTTTCACATTGGTGTTTCTATAATTTGTGCTTATCTGGTGCCCGTAGGGATGCATGAATTTATTTGCTACTAAAGATTGTTTGCCCGATCAAAAATAAAAGTTAAAGAAAAGATTGTTTGCCAATTATTTGCCATTAAATACAGACTCATACTTTCACATTTTTTGGAAATATTTTGTTGTGATATGTTCCACAGGTGGACTAATTTGTTAACGAGTTTGAAGCACTTGTCAAATGAAACATGACTGTCCTCAAAACGGACAAAACCAACTTAACAAAATCATCCGCAAAATTTAAGCGGAAATCATGACAAATCTTTTTCTCCTATATTAACAGTTATATAACAAATCCTCAGTTTTAACCTGAAAATTTTAAGCTTTAATTGTGATTGGATAATTTTCCAAATGTTTAGCTTTTTCAAGTTAGGTATGAAATTGTAAAAATTACAATTAAAAAATTTTTCACTCAAACAAAAGTTTTTAATCATAATCTTTTTTGATTTTGGGACAATTAATTTAACAGCTGATATATTTTTATCTTCATACTGCTTCATTTTATGAATTTAATAGTTGATATTTTCTTCACCTCATTTTACTTTTTATATTTCATACTTTCTTATAAGATCAGGAAACTAGAGTATACATAAATAGAATAAACTGTTGAGGACTTCCAACTCAGCAAATGTTAGATTTAGAGCTCACATTCAGGCTTTTATTCCCCAAAATATCTACGCCCTTTAGTAGAATGGCTGATGCACAGACAATGTACCAGCCTGCTAAGATAAGAGGTTATGCTTTTTTTTTTGAGACAGAGTCTCGCTCTGTCACCAGGCTGAAGTGCAGTGGAGCGATCTCTGCTCACTGCAACCTCCGCCTCCTGGGTTCAAGTGATTCTCCTGCCCCAGCCTCCTGAGTAGCTGGGACCACAAGCATGCACTACGACGCCCCACTAATTTGTAATATTTTTAGTAGAGATGGGGTTTCACCGTGTTGGCCAGAATGGTCTTGATCTCTTGACCTTGTGATCTGCCTGCCTCGGCCTCCCAAAGTTCTGGGATTACAGGCGTGAGCCACCACGCCCAGCCAAGAGGTTATGCATTTAAGAACATTAATTATAACCTTTCAATATATAGATGACAGACTTAACATCTTCTGCCAGAGCTTAATCCTATGTGAGACAATAGGAAGGCACTGAAATGTTCAAGTAGTAGATACATGTGTTTAAAGAAAAAAGGAGGAAATAAACTTTTGAGAACTGTGGGTCATGCTACTCCTATGTCTCTACAACCTCACAAATATATAAGAAAATTATTGAAAATGGACACTAACCTAAAGCAGGTTATTTAAGAATTATTTCTATTTTAATATAATCTCTCAGTGGGCATTAATAGTATATTTCTAATCTTTTGCCATTAAGTATGGAAACAGGCTACAGATGAAAAAAAGTGAAGCAAAAATATTAAATGATAGGCATGATTCATAAAATCAAATCTTTCTTAGGCTAAATGATGAAAACACATGAGCACATAGAGGGGAACAACACACACTGGGACCTTTCAGAGGCTGGAGGCTGGGAGGAGGGAGCCAATCAGGAAAAATAACTAATGGGTACCAGGCTGAATACCTGGGTGATGAAAAGATCTGTACAACAAACCCCCTGACACAACTTTACATATGTAACAAACCTGCACTTGTATCCCTGAACTTAAAATAAAAGTTAAAAAGATACTTTAAAATGATTACTCTCTCTCTCTCTCTCTCTTTCTCTCTCTCTCTATTATCAATTTATCAGCTGTGGTGTACAATAATCTTCATTTATAAATTGCTCCCTCACGTTTATGTGACTTATAATTAGTAGACTAGCACTCAAGTCTGCAGGTTCATAGAAGGAAGGGAAATGATACTCAAGTGCCTACCATGAATTATTACCCCTTTCCATATTGCTTAGTCCTATAAAAGTCTCTAAACTGAGTAACATTATTCTCATTTATCTGATGAGTAAACTCATAAGAGCATACCTAGAGCACAATGACATGTTTGGGATCTAACCACATACTTTGACTATAAGGCATGTGCTTATTCACTCGGCTACATTGCCTACTGGGTTCATTGAGTTATAAGCTATACCTTAATAAATAATGACCAGCTTACCTGAGCTTTGCTGTGCACAACTGTATATAATCCTTGTTACTGGAAAAATGATTTATGATGTTTCAATGACTGTGAATATATTTGTTTGAATTATAATGCCCTCCCCTCCTCCCTCCAGAATTCTATCCCTGAGTTACATTATTTACATTTTGGGAAAAAGTATAATGAGATCTTGTAGGCATAAGAAAAGCAGTTCTCTTAGAGAGTTAGTCTTCAGAGACAGAACAAGACTTCCAGGAAGTAGAAGGTACATTCAGTCAGTAACATAGGTGAGGTTAGAAAGCAGTACTCTTTGTATTAATAAAGACAATATGTTAAATGCATAAATATAGGACATTTTTATATTGTCATGTATTTTTTCAAAAAATTAGGAATTGAGAAAGAAAATGTTTAGACTATGTGTCTTTATTTTTCACGTGGGATATTGTAAATACAGCTTCAGAATCCTGAACTGGGGATGGACGGGGAGAGGAGTTAACTTTTGTCTGTGCTCTGCACATAACTAATTATATATCTTGATGATGACTTTTTATGCATTCTTCATTTGAGAAATAGGAAAATTGGTATAAAATATTATGCAAGAAAATTAATAATTTTAATATATTTTCCACTTGAAAAATAAGAGAAGTGTTGTAAATTCTTATAGTTACTTTTATACCTAACGTTCTAAGAGAAATTCTCTAGAAAATTGTATTACACAGCGAAAATATATGTATACATCACATATTGAGAAACAAGGATCCTGATAACTTATACTGGGAAAAAAATCATACCATGAAAGAAGTCCATTTTTCCTTACTCAAGTTACTTTCTTAATTTTATAAACACAAAACTCTAGTTTTTATTGATAATGATTTTCTTCAGAGCTTCTTTCACCTCCTTATTCTGGAGGCTATAGATTAAGGGATTCAACATGGGAATGATCACTGTGTAGAAGACAGAGGCCATCTTGTCTGTGTCCAGGGCATGGCTAGAGCTAGGCTGTAAGTACATAAAAATGAGGGTCCCATAGAATATGGTGACTGCCAGCATGTGAGAGCCACACGTCGAGAAAGCCTTCTGTCTTCCCTCAGCTGAATGCATCCTCAGGATGGCAGAAATGATGAACATGTAGGAGACAAAGACAATCAGAAGGGAGGAAATGAACATGATACCAGCACAGGCAAAGATCCAGAGCTGTTTGAAGCGAGTGTCTGAGCAAGTTAGCCTGAGGAGAGGCATGTCATCACAATAGAAATGGTTGACAATGTTGGAGTGGCAATAGGAGAGGCGGAAGGTGAGGATGGTGTGAAACAGTGCAACCAAGATGCTATAGCTATGGGGAGCAGCCACAAGCTGAATGCAGATTCCTGGGGACATTACCACCATATACATCAGAGGGTTACAAATGGCCACATATCGGTCATAGGCCATGGAAGCCAGTAGCAAGCACTCAGCCGTCATGAAGGCCAGGAAACAGCCTAACTGAGCAGCACATGCATTGAACGAAATACTATTTTGTTTATATAAGAAATTCCCAAGCATTTTGGGTGTAATGACAGAAGAGTAACAGAAATCCACAAAAGCTAGGTTGCTAAGAAAGAAGTACATTGGTGTGTTGAGTTTTTCATCTGTTCTAATGAGTAGGATCAAACCCAGATTGCCTACTACTGTGAAAAGATAGATAGATAAGAATAGCACAAAGAGGGGCATCTTCAACTCCTGACGATCTGTGAGGCCCACAAGAATAAACTCTGTCACCTGGGTGCAATTGATCTGAGTCATACCTCTTCAGGTTGTCTGGATAAAAAGAGGAGAGTTTAATCAAGCTTAACATTTGTATAATTTTTTAATACCTTAATATCCTTAAAATCAATTTTATTGTTAATATGTAAGTGCTAATTTAGTATTAAAATTATTAGCTCACTTGAGGTCTGGGGATGGGATGGGATGGGATGAAAGGTAAAAGAGGTTATTTTGTGGGAACACATATTTCTCTCTGCATAAATTTATTATATTTATAAAGGTACTTTACATACTATGTCCATGTGTACATATTATTTAGCTCCCGCTTATAAGTGAGAACATGTGGTGTTTTACTTTCTGAGTTACTTCACTAAGATAATGGCCTCCATTTCCATCCATGTTGCTGCAAAAGACATGATTTCATTCTTTTTTTGTGGCCAAATAGTATTCAATTACCCTTAAAAAGTGAATGTAAATTGCCATTATGGCTATGAGGAAGTAAATATAGTGAATTTTGACAAACTTAGCATTTTTGTGATAAACAGTTGCATTTTAATGGCAGGTAACTATTGAAAAATGGCATTTTGTAGGTATTTAAGTCAAGCAGGATACAGTGGAAAGAACTCTAGATAAAACTGGGAGACCTGGAATTTATTTCTATCATTCTCTAGTTACATAAACTTTGGCACATCAAAAATTCAGTTTGTTCTTTAAGCTTCCTAATCTATAAAAGGTGTTATTTTCTATCTGAAATAATCATTGTTACTATCAAAAGAAAGTTATCTCCTGCACATAACAGGTATAAATATATTTTAAATTAGAAAATAATATTAAACCATAAAACTTGCTTCCCTGATGTATTAAAAGTTACACGTATGTATAAGTCAGCAGAATCACTTTACCACCCAGCTGTCAATGAATTTTAAAAGTGATTATGCTGACTTCTACATACATAGTATGTATGGGTGGTCAAGGTAATATACCTCTAGGCCTTGAACATAGAAAAGTCTGAGGAAATAAATACAAAAAAGTAAGAACACATGGAAAATCCTTAAGTAATGCAAGTAGATAGGTATAGGTAAACTTTTACACGTAATGTACCTTTTAAGTTGAATACAGAGAAAAGTGTCTTAAAATTTTAGTTCCTGAAATATAATCTCAGCAAATAATAAATTAACAAAAGAAACCTAATTGATATATTTTTATTATTTCAGGAAACAGCAGGGGAATATATCAGGAAAATTTAGATGTTCTTTATAAATCATGGACATGAAAATCAAAAATGAATATTTTTGAGTATGTGTGCATGTATGTTTCTACCACTTTCTATGAAGAAGATAACAACAGATAATATTTATTATTACTGCTGCTGCTGCTTATTGTTACATGAAATATGTGCATCATCAAAGTTTTTAAAGACTTTTTGGTGTTCATACAAATACATAAATTTTGTTTTGAGATGATTAAGCAACAATTTGATAGGAAATTTAGTTTTCATGTCTGGAGATTTCAGGTAAGGCTGCACTGTTTGACAACTATAAGACATTTATTATCTCACCTTGAAGTACCACTTTATCTCATCTCAAAGGTAGAATGTACATTATATTTGAAAAAATATTATACATGACCTTTTACAATATAGTCCATGATGTTTTCCATCAAAATTCCAGCAACATCTCTTCCCTTCTTCCTCAAACAACACCCAGTGATCAATTAAAAACCTTATTTTACAGTCCTCAAATACAACATGCCCTTACACGTTACCCAGGCTTTATATGTGCTTTTGCTTACACTTACCTCTACCAGATGAATGGCGAATGGAGAGCTGCAGTGAAAACTATTTATTCTTCAAGGCTTCCCTGATTTCTAGTTTTCATGCTGTGTTACCATCTTTCATCTTTGTGTTCTAGAAACATTGTATTCATAATTCATTTACCTATATCACATATATGGCAAACATCTGTTTTCATATATTTTATTTTGATAGACTGCTGAGTCCATGGGTGGACGCCATGAAATTTTAATTAATGTCTTAATGTAGCCCCTTCTAGATGCTTGGTAATGGGAAATTAATAATTAAATTTTTGCAAGAACCTTTCAATATTTATTTCACTGGTTCACAATTAATGTTCTTTACTTATAACAAACACATTAGATGACATATTGATGACTTGGTTTTGATGTGCTCACTTTTTATATGGGCAAAAATAGGAAGGACAGTTTTAATGTAAATTGCAATCTAGTCAATTAAGTGTCCAACTTTTCCAAGCAGCCTAATAAATTTTATCTTGGTATTCCCAAACTTTCTTTTTCATCTCATACCAATAAGAAATATATTTTATATAACGCATACATATATAACAGAAATAAAATTATAGAAAACATTAGCCTTATTTCAGAAAATGCCATCTAAAATGTTATAAAGTTCATTATATTCTATGCTACTTTATTTTTAAAATGCTTATCTTGACCTTAATTTTGAAACATATTATTTGAACTTACTTGGGTAAAAGGTGTTCCTATTTCCTCTCCAAGTGGGTTTGGACAGCAACAGAATATAGGGTTTTGACAGTCACTCTGTCCCCTCTGTCCCATAGGATCTTATTTAGGAGAATGATGCAAGTAAAATTATCAGAAAAAATAGTTAATGACCTAAGGGATTCCAAAGCAGGCTAGAGATAAATTAACATCATTCTCAAGCTTTGAGGAACCAAAGATCTATAGCTCTGACTTAGCATGACATTATTGCTCTAATGTTCTTATTTTTGGAATGCTATTTATTGATTGATAATTTTATTATTAATAGTGCTATTTATTTATTCATATTTTACTTGTTCATATTGTTGTTCTTGTTATTTATTTATTTATTTATTTGAATTCTTTTCCTTTTGTTGTTTCTTAGTGATAAAGTTTAGATTTATTTTTAAAAGAAAAATAAAAATTACCTTGCAAAAATTTTTACAACATATCTTCCAAAGAACTAATTTGGAACTCCCAATAATCTATTACAGAATAATTTAAGACATGGTACTCTCTCTTTGGCTTACTCTTTGAAATGCTCATGAAACATCTGTGTCTTTTTTAAGGCTGTTGCTATCTGTTATTACTTAATTTTTATAGTTCCTTGGTCTATAGAATAGCCTTTGAGATTATTTTTTTAGCCAATCTGTGGCCATAGCAAGAGAAGAACATTATTGTAATACTTATTACAGAACAATGCATCTGCTAGGAACTGAATTGTATCTCTCAAAATTCATATATTGAAGCTCTAACTCCCAGTGTGATGATATTTAGAGACAACAACTTTGGAAGAAAATTAAGATTAGATAAGGTTATAAGGGAGGGGGTTAGTGCCCTTATAAGAAGAGACGCAAAAGTGTATGCTCACTCACTCTCCCTCTTTTTTTTTTTTTTCTCTGTCTCCTCTATGCTCACAAACAAGAGGTCATGTGAGCAGACAGAAGATGGTGGCTGCCTACAAGCCAGGAAGAGAGACCTAACTAGAAGCTGAATCAGAAAGTATCTTGATCTTGGACTTCTTGTCTCCAGAACTGTCAGAAAATAAATTTCTGTCACTTAGGCCACCCAGTCTAAGTTTTGAGGTTTTTGTTGTTGTTATTTCTTTGTTTTTTACTGTAGCCTGAGTTGAATAGGAGAGCATCTCTGAAAAAGCAAAATAATCCTCTACAGTGCGAAAGGCTTTGTTGGGGGAAGGTGGTAGGGAAGAGGAGGGGTGGAAAGCAATTATAAAACTACTTTTTTTTCCCCAAATATAGTGTATTTTTCTGCTATCTAAGGATGAAGATGGACAAGATTCCCCAAATATGTCTTTTATAGATTTCAAATAGGAAGTGAAAATCACAATTGAGTTTACACCGTCAGCTAAAAATACGTAAATGAGAAGGCCAATAAGACATTTGATACAAACCCTGGGATCCAGTCATTAGCTTACCAATATCTTACCAAATGGAAAAAAATTTTAATATATATTTTTTAAAGAACCAGATAGAGTATTTGGAGATAAAACTACATGGCACATGTATACATATGTATCAAACCTGCACGTTGTGCACATGTACCCTAGAACTTAAAGTATAATAATAAAAGAGGAATACTGAAAAAATAATAATTTTAAAAAGAATAAATTGCACATATCATGTCACTTTATCAAGGTACAATTATCAAAACTAGAAAACATTTGTGCAACATTATTTTCTAATATATTGATTATATTCAAATTTCATCAATTTCTCCAATAAATCCTTATAGCAATTTTTTCTTGGAAAAAAAAGAATATTTGGAGATAAAAATACAATACCTGAAATGAAAAATGTATTGGTTAGACCAAAAAGAATAGTGATAAAGCTGAAGACAGAATTGGTAAAATTGAAAATAGGTAAATAAAACTTGTCTATTCTAGAAAACAGAGAAGAAGAATATTACAGAAAAATGAAGAAAATCCTGGCGACTTCTGGGGCACCAGAAAGTGGTACCAATAAAGTGTGCCATATCAAGTGTACCAGTAAAAATAAGTGGGAGTCCCAAAAGGAAGGAAGGGAGATAAAGGGGAAAATACTTGAATAAATTACTGAAAACTTCTCCAATTTGAGAAAGAAAAGCATTAACATGTGGATCTAAGGGACTCAACCAAACTTAAGTTAGATTAACACCAAGAAATCTTTAGGCTAATGAAAGTCAAAGTATTGAGTGCCAAAGACAGCGAAAAGTCTTGAAAGTTGTTGATTAATTCTATAGAAAATCACAAGTTTAACACATGACTTCTTACAAGGAAAATATGGAATGTGGTGGGATGACATGTCCAAACTGCTATAAGAAAACTGTTGTCTACAGGGAATACTATATCCAGTCAAATTATATTTCAGAAATAAAGGTGACTTAAAGACCTGGGTAAATGAGATTAAGATAATTCATTGCTAGCAAATCTGCCTTATAATAAGTACATAAGAATGTCTTTCAGAGGATAAGAAATTATTCTGTATGATAATTTCAATCACAGAAATACACGAAGCACACTGGAAATGGCAGATATGTCAATCATTTTTTTTATTTATTGATGTATCATCATATTATTGATATAGTCATATGTCTGTGTATATATAGTCTACATAAGTATTCTCTTCTTAATTTATATAAATGACATACAATTGTATATTTCTTGTGTCCTCCTAATGACATAAAATTGCATACATATTCAATTATGATAATACAGTCTTGAGGTTTATAAGTAGACACTGCATATGTGTGTATGTATGTATGTATTTACATAGTGCTATGCTAGTATTAATCTGAAGTATATGGTGATAAGTTAAAATCAATATTGAAATCCTTAGAGCAACCATTACTAATGCATGTCTGTGTGTCTGTTTGTGTGTGTACATATTTAACACATCAGAAATTAAATTTCTAACTTAAAATTTTTTAACACAGGCGTTAGAACTCAAACAAGGAAATAAAAAAAAACTGAACTATTTAGAATATTAACAACATGAAAGACATAAATTCAGCCATATCAGTAATTGTGTTAAAAATGAATGGACTTAATACTCTAATTAAAAGGGAGAGCTATTCAGAGTTAATTACAAAGACAAAAATCCAACTATTAGCTGTTTACAAGAGACAAAATGTACACTTAAAATCACAAATATAATGAAAGTAAAATGATGGAATACTCTTCCATGCTTATAATAACCGCAAGAGAGATGAAGTGGTTATATTGTCAGAAAAATATAGACTTTTAGTCATTAAATGCTATCACAAAAAAGGAAGAGCATTTAATAATGCTAATAAGGAAAAAAATCAGTAAATTAAGTAACTAGAAATTCATGCACAAATGACAAAGGAGCCCCAAAACATTTAAAATTAAAACTGACAGAAAATAAATGTAAATACGTAATTTAACTTGGGATTTTAACATCAGTCTTAATAATTGATAGAGCAAATAAAGAGAAAACCATAAAGCCAAAAAAGGCTTGAGCAACACTATCAACCGGCTTGATCTTAATGAATCTATAGAATGACTCTTGAGGAAAAAAAAAATTATTTAACACCGGCTCTCTCAACTTCAGCACTATTATCATTTGGGGATGTATAATTTTTTGAGTGAGGGGCCATGTTGTGAATTGTAAAATATTTTGCAGCACACCTGGCCTCCACCCTCTAGATAGCAATAGCATTCCTTCACAGTATCCTGTCATTGTGAAAATCAATAATAAGCCTAAGTATTGACAAATGTCCCCCTGGGAGAAAAATTACCTCTATGTAGAGACACTGTTGCAGGTAATTTAATTAAATATTATTAAATTTAATTTTAAATATACTATAAAATAGTCTTAACATATTGTTAAAGAACTCTTACAACCCTGAACTGGGCATTCAGAGTGCTTTCATTTTTTCTATTCCTGGCAGCACCTAATTGTATAACTATCAGATGAGATAATACATTTTAAAAATACATTTTTCCTGTGAGAAATGATGTAAATTCTTATGGTACTTTCTACATATGAAATATGGTTTTAAGTCAAAAAAATTACAAAAATGCAAAGAATAATTTTTTCAGTAAACAGATCTTTATTGCTTACCAATTAAGAGCAAGGTATTCCAATAGTTTTATTAATGTGGGGGAAAACCTGGTTATGAAGGAATGCCCATTTTTGTCTATTGAACTCATTTTCTCAGTTTCAGAAAAATAAAAGCATGGTTTCTATTGATGATGACTTTCTTCAGGGCATCTTTTACATCTTTGTTCCTGAGACTGTAAATCAAGGGATTCAACATGGGAATAATCACCGTGTAGAAGACAGAGGCCATCTTGTCTGCATCAAGAGAATGGCTTGAGCTTGGTTGTAAGTACATAAAGATCAGGGTGCCATAGAATATGGTGACTGCCAGCATGTGAGAGCTACAGGTGGAGAAGGCTTTGCGTCTTCCTTCAGCTGAGCTCATCCTCAGGATGGCAAAAATAATGAACATGTAGGAGACAAAGACAATCAGAACAGAGCAGATGAATGTGATACCAGCACAGGCCAAAATCCATAGCTGTTTGAAGCGAGTGTCTGAGCAAGTTAGCCTGAGGAGAGGCATGTCATCACAATAGAAATGGTTGACAATGTTGGAGTGGCAATAGGAGAGGCAGAAGGTGAGGATGGTGTGAAATAGTGCCATTAGGAAGCTATAGCTATAAGGAACTGCTACAAGTTGAATGCAGATTCCTGGAGTCATTACAACCATATACAATAGAGGGTTACAAATGGCCACATATCGGTCATAGGCCATGGAAGCCAGTAGCAAGGATTCTGATATCATGAAGGTGAGAAAGCAGCCCAGTTGAGTAGCACATGCATCAAAGGATATAACATTTTGTTTGTACAAGAAATTCCCAAGCATTTTGGGTGTAATGACAGAAGAGTAACAGAAATCCACAAAAGCTAGGTTGCTAAGAAAGAAGTACATTGGTGTGTTGAGACTTGTATCCGCTCTAATGAGTAGGATCAAACCCAAGTTGCCTACCACTGTGAAGAGGTAGATGGATAAGAATAGCACAAAGAGGGGCATCTTCAACTCCTGACGATCTGTGAGGCCCACAAGAATAAACTCTGTCGCCTGGGTGCAATTGATGTGAGCCATATCTTTTCTGGCCATCTAAATGTGGAAGTAGAGAAAAGAGTTAAGTCTAAGTCATATTTTAATACTGTAAATCCTATATGTGGTGTTTTTATATTTATTGTATTGTAAAGAGTTTAATTAATTAGATTTATTTATTAATTTATTTAACTAATATAATGATTGTTAGCATACTGGAATTCTGGAAATGTGATGGAGAGCAAAAAGAATATAACACCGTATAAACATCTTTATATCTAAAGCATGAACTTACATGAATGTAGGGAATGAATCCTCACATAATCTTATCCTGTAAATTAGAGTAAAATTGATATTTGCTTTCTAAGAGATTTGGAAGTTTATGTTTCTTTACAATTCAGTTTATGTCTGCTTTTTTATCTTTTATTAAAAAACTGATTTAATTACATTTTTTGCATTAATTTTTGTTTTCCTACTCTATTTAATGTTGTGTATCATCATTTTCTTATTCATTTTGGATAATTTTAAAATTGAATTATTGAATACCCAAATAGTATCAAATATCATGTCTCTCAACTCCTCTTTCTTCTCTCTCCCACCATTATATCTAGTAATGGAAAATAGAGCTTTCCTTAAAAACTTATAAATTTCACGCTTTGAAAATTACTATGCAAATAAATATATAAATAAAATAAGAGCCTGTGTTTCTTCACTGTTCTTCAGAGTTTACTAATAGCTCTTGAGTATTTACTTCTGCTCAATTAATCAAAGAATCCATTTCAGTTATTTGTGTTTTGTATTAATAAACATATTTATTGAGCAACATAATGTGGTAAGTAATAACTTTCAAAAAATACTTATTTACCTTAATTTTATTCTAAATAAATTATATTTATTATATGTATAAGATACATATTAGATATGCAATATGTAAGTATATACTAGATATCCTAAAACCCTAATACAGATGGAACATTAATGTCTAATTATAGCAACATGGAAATTGATGGATAAGGACATAGGAACCCATAAATTCCAAATCTCTAATTGCATGTTAAAAACTGAACGTCAATTTTGAGTTAAAATAGGAAAAAGAAAAGAGAAAAGGGAGGTAAGTAAAAAGAGAATTTTTGGTCTTTGCACTGCTCAGACCAAACCCTTCTCAAGAAGACTAACTTTCAGACTCAAACTTTTTTATGACAAACTATAGAAATAAATACTTGTTATAAGATGGCATGGAACTAATAGATATATTGAGAATAATACTTTTGCTTCCCTGACATCCGCTTGTATTACATATTCTTTCGTTTTCTAGCGTAATCTGTTCCATTCTATTTAATTCAAACAATGCTTCTTGGGATCCTAAAAAGTGGATTTAAGATCTACTAGTAGTTACAAGCACAGTTTCAAAACCTACACACTAGTCCCCACACACTGAACCATTTTCACTAACATGAGTAGATAAGCAACTTACCTTTAACAGTTCCTAGCTATACCACCCACTGTAATCTGTAACCAAGACTGAACATTCTATCCTTAACATTTTCCTTGATTTTGTCTAACTGCTACTCTTGTAGAAGGTTATTTCAATTCATTCAGTTCTTTATTCAATAATATATAGTGGGGACTATTAATTTTCAGAGCGTGCATAGAGTCTGAAGATAGAGCAGTGAAAGAATAGATAGTAGTCCAGGCTGGAAAGAAAGCAAGCGTTATCCAACTTTACCCTATATTTCTGGTCTCTTTTCTTATCATTCGTTTTTCTCCACCTGTAAAACACAAAACCCTGAAACGTGTGCACACAAACTATTTTACTTTGAATCCAAAGGAGAGCATGCATTATATTTGAAAGGACATGTGACTTTTTATAGTATCATCTCTGAATATTTTTATTATCCCGGTTCCACTCAACTCTCCAGTCAGCAGGAGCATCCATTGTTTCAATTAATGATTGGTCTCAATTTGTCAATAACAAAATGCCTTTCCATACTTCTCTATTTTTAATCTTGCCATTCCTAGTTTCTTTCTTTACAGAAAAATAGACAGTGAAAATGGAAACTCCTACTTATCTTTCAAGCTCTGCTGAAATATCACACTTCTATGAAGAGCTACTTAATTTTTCCTTCCCATGTTAACAGCTTTCATATTTGTCTTCCAAAAACATTTTAGACATACCTAATCTATATTTCATCTCTTATTACAACCATCTGTTTCCATATATCTTCCCCTGATAGACTTTAGACCCTTTGTGGTTGAAAATCACGCTGTTTTTATTCATTTCCTAATGTAGTCTCTTCTAGATGTTAGATGATGGGGAATTAAAGATTAATTTTGGAATGACATTTGAATATTTCTTCCCCTTGCCCCTAGGTTATATTATTTTCTTTGGAAAATATCTCTAGAGACATATTAGTAATGTCTAACGAATGCCCCACTAATCCTGGGTAAAATTTCTAGCTACTGCAAGAGGGGAAAGCAGAGTTTGGGCATAGAATGTATAATTTGGTCAATAACGGAACTGTTTATTTCCAAACATTTTTAAAAATTCTAAACAGGAATTTTTAGTTACTTCAATCTAATAAGAAATATTTTAAAATCACAATGCATACCCACATATAAAATTAAAATAAAACCAGAGAAAACACTTTATTTTATAAAATGTACTCGTAATGATTTTTCTCTAATTATTGTACGGCACTCTTTAATTTTAAAAATACTTATCTCGAGTTAATATAGCAAATGTATTAGCTATAAATGAGTCAAAGCCCACCATCTTGAAATATGCTCTATTCTACCTGGGAAGAGGATACTTGTATTTCTCCTCATAATAGGTGTGGATAGCAATGACTATGTGGTTTTTGTTAGTGTCTCTTTCCCAAAGGATCTTGTTCCAGAGTATGAAGCAAGTAAGAGTATCATAAAAATTACAGTCTGTACTTCATTGGAATTGCAAGGCAGGCTAAAGATTTATTGACCTGATCTGTTTTTAAATAACTGCAGATGTGAAGCTGTTTTTAGTATGACATTATTAAGGGTCCTCTAACTTTAAAAACATTACTATATTTTTATGTTTTACAAAATATATTTGCTGTTGTAGATTTAGTGTCAATCTTCAATATTGGCTTTGAAAGGCAGGTAGCTAACTATCTTTTTTGAAAATTCTCACAAATAGCTTTCTATGAAATGTGTATCCAATTCTTCCAAGGACCTACTCCTTAATATTTTATGCATGAGACATTTTGCAAAAGCTCTGGGCATGTGCTTATGTCCTAGTCACTCCAAACTAGACAACGGATAAGAAATGTCTTGTAAATTACTGTGTGAGTAAGAAGAGTGGATTTGTATATTTTCCATATTGGCTATAAATTTAAAATCATCCCTGTAGTTTTCTGTTAAGTAAATTTCTAACAATAACAGTAGCTTTATGAACACAGTACTTTGACTGAAACAGGAAAAGTGACAAAAGCTTAGAAATCACAACTTAGTTAAATGGTGTAAATATTAATTAGGATAAGAATTATAAGTGTGTGTGTAATATATTAAGTAATTATTTGAGTACATAGTTGTTTTTTCAAATGAGAAATACATCTAGTAAAATTGGCTTAATTTTCCATCTCTGTGATTTCGTACAAAATGCCATGACTTGAGGTTTGATATTGAGATACTGAATCGATATGTGCAGTACAACATGCACATGTACACACACACACACACACGCACAAAAAAAAAAAAAAAAAAACTTTCAGAGGATGAGTGGTGATCCTGATCCTGGACTAGCCATTTGACACTAAATCCTTACCAATGAATAAAAAATATTTTAAAACTCTAAACATTACATTTGGTTCCCCAATTCTCTTTATTTTTTGTCTTAAAATATATGAGATTAAACAATAAAATAATGAAATAATTTTAATACCTGAAAAATCAGATTTATAGATGGCCACAGAAAGCCAAAATTGTCATTTGTAAAATATGGAAGTTCAGACGCTTTATATAGAAAATGTTGTATGTATTTTAAATGATGGTATTTTGAAATATAAGTTAATACATTTCTTCCTCAGAGAATAACAAAGGCCTTTACAATTCTTATTCAGAGTTGTAACTGGCACTGTAAGTGTCTATATGTAACTCATGGCTTAGTCCATTCTACAATATCCTTTTTCTCATTCTTATATCTCATCACAAACATAACTTAGAAAACAGTGTCTGTGAGTAAAGACATACTAACACCATACCCAGAGAGTAGACTTGACTGTTCAGATAAATGTAATGTGGCAATTTTTTTTAATCTTGTCACATTAGACTAGATTTGTTTACCAGTGTTTAATGTTGATCAGTGAGTGAGTGTATACTAAAAGTCACTATACAATTCCATTCTTTCTTACTTTCAGCGGATCTATGAGTTCCCATGCCTAAGTTTTCTAAATTTCAGGAAAATAAAAAGATTCTGAAGAACTGCAGCACCTCCTTGCTTACCGAAGCATCTGTTAATGCTGGCCATGCTTCAACAAATGCCATTCATCAATTTTTTTGTAATAAAATTAAGGAAATGATGTCCCATATTAACTTAGGGATCTTTTACAATGTTATTTTAAGTGATAAAGGAAAACTTTTTTATTTAAGAGGCCTCATATGTTTTCTTCCTAAACTGGGGAGCTTAGAAGGCAATCCTTCGGGTAACATTAATTAGTAGAGAATAATCGATTAATCAAGAGTTTCTTTTAATAGTTTCATCTGTTCCTATTATCATCCAATAGATAAAGACATTGCATAAAAGAAATGATTAATAGAGTATTATTGATTTTATATTCCATTTACTTGGTGAAAGAATCAACTTTGCTGACCAGTGTGTTGGCCTCCAGAACAATTATTTCAACATCATAATGACACTCAATGGCCACAGGGAATTTACTGCTTTGTAATGTGTTGCTTATGTTACTCAGCTGTTTAGCAGTGGATCAGCAATGATGGCTCTTCTTTTTGTCCTTTCAAAGGAACTTGTTTTTTACTGCAGAATTATTCCTGAACTTCCTTGCTTTAATCACTGCGCTCCGGCCACACTGACGTTCTAGCAATTTCTTTTTGTCTGTTTGTTTGTTATTGCCGTAACTACAACATATTTTAATTTCTGGTTATTTTTCCATATACAGAAGCAAGACATTGGGTAACACGTAGTAAATCTAAACGATTCCATAAATATTATATTGGAACAGAAAATGTATGGTCACAAGAGATGAACCATATTACCAGGTCGTGTAATTAGATGTGCAAACTCAGTTGCATATAAATGTTACCAAGTTCAGAATGGATCAAGCGATATTGACTTGTACTGGGAAGACACTAAACATTGTGCATGGCCTTTGTGTTCTAGTCTTAAGATTTGAGTACTTGCTATTCCCTCTGCTTGGAACACTCCTCCACATAGTCACAAGCCCTGCTTGCTCTCTGATATTATTTTATATATTTGCTTATTATCCATCTTCCTTGTCAAATAGAAACTCCATATGAGAAGAAACTTTGTTTTGTTCATTACTGTACCTTTGGGGCCTACAATAGTATCTTGCACAAATTAAGCACCCAATACATATTTTCAAAAGTTTGTAATACATACATCTTCTGTAGCATGTGACCATTTTGTTGAAATAGATACTTTCATGGTCTTTGCACTTTTGACAGATTCAGGAACAAAAAGTCAACTAAGGCTATGACAAGTGTCCACTCACAGCTTGATATTTAATGGAGTTATTAAAAATATCATTCCTCAAACTTTTAATAATATTCAAAAGTAGATGAATCCTGATGGCTGAATTTACTTTTACCATCAGAGACTAAACTTTATTATTATTATTACTATTGCAATTATTCAGTAACATCAATACTCATTCAGTAGGTATATTATATGTCAGGCATTATGCCACATGCTTTCAAACATTTTCAAATTGTATTATCTATGAAATTTCTACTAAAAAACATTTTTTTTTTTTGAGACAGAGTCTCACTCTGTCATCCAGGCTGGATTCCAGTGGCATGATCTTGGCTCCCCGCAACCTCTAACTCCCAGGTTCAGGTGATTCTCCTGCCCCAGCCTCCTGAGTAACTAGGATTACAGGCACCTGCCACCTAGCCCAGCTAATTTTAGTAGGGATGGGGTTTCACTATGTGGGCCAGTATGGTCTCGAACCCCTGACCTCAAGTGATCTGTCCACCTCAGCCTCCCAAAGTGCTGGGATTACAGGCGTGATCCACAGCACCTAGCCCTAAATAACATTTTTGTAGTTTCAATTGTTTCCTCTGTTTTGTCGATTACATTTTTATTTTTGAAAAGGTGAAACCCTAGGTTTTTTTTATTCATCAAAATGCTGAAATTATACATAATTTTTCTACAGTATGGGATATTTTTCCATTGACTGTAACAGATTTGACTCTTGCAATGAGCAATCAAACAAAAAATAAGCAATCAAACAGAGATACCTGTGCTTACATCTGTGCCACTGATTGATAGAAGTGGAAGATGGGTCTGCCTAATGTACCCTCATCACCACAGTGTAGTTCTCATTAATCCTTGGAAGCAAAGTCCAGTGTTCTCTCCACTCCTCTAATGAAAAGTTTGTGTTTTCTCAACATTGTTTTTTCCACTTTGACTTGTGTAGGTGGAGATTGGGAGGTTTATTTGTTTGTTTTAATCCTCATTTTAAGGCCCTAGAGAGTTTAAAATAAGGTGTACTTTTCATCTGATGTCCTCAAAGAAGACTCTACTGGGACATTGCTATTAATCTCACCTTTTCTCCTGAGTTGTGGGAAATTATTATGTGAGAACTTTAGGTAGAGCCAATGTAAACAAAGGAAAAAACATTAAATGGTGTAGAGACTTTTTCATAGTTAAGAAAAATCATGAAATTACTAATAAATATGCAATTTCTAGAGTCTCAAGTCTGTCATTGAAATGTAATTTCAATAATTGAGGAAATTGTATTTTAGCTCAGGCACACAAAATGACTCTCACTATCTAATTTTCCTCTAGGAAAATTATTAAAGATAAAATATATCTTTCTAATCTAAGAAGAATAAACATTTATCTAAGAAATATGAGCTTTCTAGATCTTAAATTTTTCCAGCTGACAATTTATTTTTTCCAGTGGAGGATTTATAATTGACAGAAGAACCGTAGTGAACTTGGGTTTTTTTTTTAGTGATACTGAAGTCAACAATATGGCCCTACATTTGAAGTTTACATGGTTCTAAATGTTTTAGGGGGAGATTCATTCATGGTCAAAGGGCAGTATTAGTGATAAAGATTTTATTGGCAAAGCAGAATTTATGGATGCATCTTGGAGAATTAATGTTAGAAAATTACTAAACTTGGTGGGAGTGTAGATTATATTGTCAGCTTCAGACAGCTTTTTGAAATGTATCTGAATTCTATGGAGATGAGCATTGGCTGACATTTCTAAAGCTATTTATACTAAGCTTGATCAGATAAATAAACAATTAGATTAGAGCTAAGAAGCTGTGTATTCCACTCTCAGAAAAAGAAGTTGAAAATGATCAGTGGAGATGACTAGAATGAACACTGTGATGCTAGATTAAAAGCTGTGTCATCACTATGTGCTTAAGCTTATCTAGATAGATATAATAGTGAAGTAGGTAGGTAGGCAGAGAGATAGATATAAAATATCTAATATATATGTGTGTATATGTGTATGTGTGTGTAGATAGAAGATAGATAGATTGATAGATAGATAGATGATTTGTTTTATAAAAAACAGGGTCTTAATCTGTCACCCAGGCTGGAGTGCACTGGTGTGATTACAGCTCACTGCAACCAGCAACGCCTGGGTTCAAGTAATCCTCCCACCTCAGCCTCCGAGTAGCTGGGTTCAATGATTCTCCCACCTCAGCCTCCGAGTACCTGGGACTACAGGTGTCCACCACCACATCTGGCTAATTTTTTAATTTTCGCAAAGATGGGGTCTCTCTATGTTGTCCAGGCCGATCTTGAACACCAGGGCTCAAGTGATCCTCCTGCCTCAGCCTCCCAAATTGCTGGGGTTAAGAAGAGAGCAACCACACCCACCCTTTTTGTGTATTTAAATGGTTTGTTATCCATGCTTATAATTCCTATCTAAATTTGCTGAAAGTAACTAAAAAGAGTGACACCTTAGTAGCAACCAGCACACCTTGTATCTATACCTTGATTTCTAAAAACTCAGTGGTTCTATCAGGAGTCAAGCCCATGGTTGCTGATGACACAATATGTTCATCTGTCTTTCTTCCCCAAGAATAAAGAGGCCTGAGGTTTTTGTGGGGAAAAACATACTAGACTTAGCAACATAAACTGTGTTATTCAGATTTTCATTTTTAAAATAAAATTCCATTTATTCGTATGGAAAAGGAGGGAGATGGGCCACAGTAAGTCTTAGCTAACAGAGTGATGTTGATGAATGTCAGGCATTCTTGTTGTTTTTAATAAAGTTCACACTTTATTCAGCTTTCTTTAGTTTTTGCCCAATGTTCATTTTATGTTCCAGCATCTATCCAGGATAGAATATTGAATTTTGCCATTATGTTTTCTTATGCCCTCTTGACTTCCTATTTTTATGACTGTGATAGTGGTTAAGTGTTTTCTGAAATGTCCCTCAATTAGGCTTTTTCTGATATTTTTCTCATGATTAGACTGGGGTAATTGGTTATTGGGGAGGAAAATCATAACTGTAATTGACATTCTAATCATATCATAATGAAGGTACATACTATCAGTATGACTTATCACTGCTCATGTTAACCTTGATCATCTGGCTGAAATAGTGCCTGTCAGGTTTCTCCACTGAAAAGTTACTCTTCTCTCCTTTTCATATTAACTTTTCAGAAGGAAGTCAGTAGGTGCAACTTACACTTACAGAATGGGGAATTATGCTTCACCTCCTTGAGGGCAGAATAGCTACATAAATTAGTGAGAATTTTGTAGGGGACATTTGTCTCTTTTCTTCCATTTATAATTTGTTCAATCATTTATTTCTACCAATATGTTATAACAATTATTTTATACTTTGGATAATAATTCAATTCTGATATTCTACATTATTTATTTTTGTTGCACCAATTATTCTGGCTTTATTCATTGGAAACCCTTTCACTTTGCTCCTGTGTTATTTTGACATAGCTCTATCATCGTGTTTCTCTTTTGCTTTCTTCTTTCCTTCCTTCTTCCCTACCTTTCTCTCTCTCACGTTCGTTCAGTGCTTCCTTAACCTCTGGAACTATAATATGCTCTGGATTCATTACGTAAATGTCCCACCCTTTCCTAGTCAAGTCTCAAAGGAGCTCTGGCTCCTTTTTTGGAATATTGTTATTAGAAACTGTTATTTGGGTTCTAAGTCTGTTTGCTGCACTGAATTGTTCACATACCTTTAGGCCTTCTCAGCTGACAGATCAAGGAGGTAGAACTGTGGATACTCACTCATATATGTTGTATATACATATCCATAACTATTTCTATCTAGTGTTTATATTAAGTTGATTATAAGTTCATTTCATCGTTAACACTAATCCCTGATCACATGGATCACTCTAGAATACTCTCCTTGCTAATCTATAACCTTCTACTCCAATAATGTGAAATGTGGGAACAACCATATGCCATCCATTTATTTAACTGTTCATTTCTAGTATACAATCATACTTGTTTCAGAATTGTTAAAACATATCCCTATGAGACACAACTTTATAATTACAGTGTAATGTATCGTTCATTAGTTCATTCTGCCTTTAATTTTCACACTCTTTTAGATGTTACTTACATCAGCACATTTACCCCATCTCTTCCAGGGAAATTGTTTCATGATTTGTGTGAGTGTGTGTGTGTGTATGTGTGTGTGTGTGAGACAGGGTCTCACTCTGTCTTGCTGGCTGGAGTGCAGTGGCACAAACTTGGCTCACTGCAACCTCTGCCTCCTGGGTTCAAGTGATTCTCCTGCTTCAACCACCTGAGTAGCTGGTATTATAGGCATAGGCCACCACTCCCAGCTAATTTTTGTATTGTTAGGATAGAGGGGGTTTTGCCATGTTGACCAGGCTGGACTCGAACTCCTGGCCTCAAATGATATGTCCACCTCCGCTGGGATTACAGACATGAGCCACCATGCCTGGCATGTTTTGTGCATTTTTAATACAATGTATTGTTTTGCCACATTCTGCACTCCTTTTCAGGTTCCTCAGACCTACTAAATGATTTATTTTTAAATTATCTTTCATTAACATTTACTCTCTGTTCTGTATACCTCTATGAGTATTTGAAAAAGGGATGGTGTCATTTATCTACCATTACGGTATTATATCATACTGAATAGTTTGACTACAGGAAATAATTCCATGTGTCTTACCTATGTAACTACACCCTTTCATCCCTCCTTTCAAGCAAGTCTTCTCATTTCCTTTAATAAATAATTATTTTACACAACCACCTTTTTCTATTTAAAAAAGTAATAGTGGTGTTTAAATATTCACAGATATTATGGTAAATTCACAGTGTATGATTTCATTGCTGTAGGCATTATCTTGTTATTTTTTACATGTTTTTTTAAGGAGAGCAATAAAGGAAAGTAATAGATGGAACCCATGTACCCTGATTCACAAGAGAGAGGAAGCATAAAACAGACAGGATTGGAAAATATCTACTCAATGTTTTTATGAAGAAACTTCTAAAGATTAAGAAAAATATTCAGGCTGGGCATGACGGCTAACGCCTGTAATCCCAGCACTTTGGGAGACTGAAGTGGGAGGATTGCTTGAGACCAGGAGTTTGAGACCAGCCTGGGCAACATAGTGAGTCCCCGTCTCTACCAAAAAAAAAAAAAAAAAAAACCATGGTAGGTGGTGCATATCTGCCATCCTATTTGGGAGGTGAGGCGGGAGGATCTCTTGAGTGCAGGAATTTGAAGTTACAGTGAGCTATGATCACACCATTGCACTACAGCCTGGGTGACAGAGCAAGATCCTGTCTAAAATAAAATAAAATAAAGAAAGATATTCAGAAATTTCTTCCCAAAAAAGTTATACTCATTGTACTGTTAGTTTCTTCAACACAAGTTGTTTGAAAGGAACATAGATACAACTTTATCATTACACAAAGAGTGGTTTAACATTCACTCTTTACTTCAGGGTCTAAATAAAATCAAGCATTTTCTGAGACATTCTTCATAGCACCAGGTACACACCTTGTGCAGAGGTCCAAACATTTTTTTGTAAATTTATTTCAAAGGATAATTTTTCTCCTTCCCTAGAAATGTCCAATGTGGTTACATGAACACATAAGAATGATATTTCATTAATTTATCATCACATTAGGTTAAATGATAATTTTTTAAATTGATAGTTATTGTATTTAATGAAGGAAGTACTGTCTCTCTGTAAAAAGTAATGAGGTCCTGTCATTTGCAACAACATGAATGGAATTGGAGATCACTATGCTAAGGGAAATAAGCCAGGCACAGAAAAACAAACTTTGCATGTACTCACTTAATTATGGGAGCTAAAAATGAAAATAATTGAACTCCTGGAGACAGAGAATAGAAGGATGATTACTAAAGACTGGGAAGGGTAGTAGGGGGATAAGGGGGGAAGTGAGGATAGTTAATGGGTACAAAAAATAGAAAGAATGAATAAGATCTAGTATTTGCTAGGCATTTGATAGTAGCTGTGGACTCACCATGTATTAGTCTTATTGTGTTCAGTTACATTTCTTTTATACTAATATGTTTAGAGTTTTATCATGAAAGGATATTGAATTTTGTCAGATGTGTTTTCTGTTTATGTTGAATCGATCATATGATTTCATTCTTCTCTCTGGTAATGTGATGTATCACATTTATTGAGTTGCATATGTTGAACCATCTTTGCATTCCTGGAATAATTCCACTGATCATAGTAAATTATCTTTTTAGTATGCTATTGAATTCAGTCTGCTAGTATTTTGTTGAGAATTTTTGCATGTATGTTTCTCAAGGATAGTGTCCTGTAGTTTCCTTTTTTTCTTGTGTTTTTTTTTTTCTGGTTTTGATATCAGGGTAATAATGCTGGCCTTGTAAAATAAGTTTGGAAATATTCCCTCATCTTTAAACTTTTGGAAGAGTTTCAGAATTGCTATTAGTTTGCTTTTTAATGTTTGGTAAAATTAGGCAGTGAAGACATCGGGTCCTGGGCTTTGTTTTGATGGGAGGCATTTTATTATTTATTTTGGTCTTCACAGTCTGGGAAATTCTTTTCTGGGAACACTCTTAAACTGTAAGCTTGCTTATAATTTTTGGGCAGGTTGGGTGGCATTGTCCTTAATCCTGTGACCACGGCAGCTGTTGCAGTGCTAGGTGGTACCCTAAACCCAAGACTGCTGTGGTCAGTGCATCTTGGGGCTGGAATCCTGGTGACTGTTGAGGCTGGTGCAGCACTGGAGTATACTCAAAGTCTACTGCCACTAAGGCCTGATTTGCCCAGAGCCCAAGACCAATGTAGTCAGCCATCAGTAAGGCAAGAAATCAGGTACATTTTGCCGTGCCTATAGGTTCGTGCCTGGCACCAGGGCAGGCCAGGAGACTCAGTCTGCAGGAGGCTCTGACCTCCGTCAGGAGTTACCAGCCCAGATTCAGGGGCCATGAGGGGCTGCCAGGTGCTAGATTTTACTATAGTAGTCCCAGTGTTGGGGACCAAAACATATCCTATGCTCATTTTATTTTCTTTTTACAAAGCAAATGGTGTGTCTGTCTATGATGTGTTTCCTGGGTTTGGAGGAGAGGTGATGTGGGTGATGTAAAGTTGCTCTTCTTACTCTCCTCAATGCAGCTTTTCTTATTACTATGCTCTAATCAGGTGCTGCAAACTCCACCTGGTTTCCTTAGCTCTTGTGAAGATATTTTTGTGCATGGATATTTGTTCAAATTGATGGTTCTCTGGGGAGTGATCCCTGGAGAATCCTATTCAAACATCTAGCTCCACTCTCCTACATTTCTTTTGATGTATCATAATTATCATGACTTAAGATTTACTCCCTATAATTGAAGAAACTCTTCTACACTGAAACACCCTTATAAATAAGGTGAACATACACACAGAATGTAATATATCTTGTCCAGTATATGTATATTCATTCTTTTCTTTTTTCTTTTTTTTTTTTAATACAGTGTCTTGCTCTGTCTCCCAGGATGGAGTGCAGTGGCAAGATCTTGGCTCACTGCAAATTTCACCTCCCGTGTTCCAGCAATTCTCCTGACTCAGCCTCCTGAGTAGCTGAGATTACAGGAATGTACCACCGTACCTTGCTAATTTTGTATTTTTTGTAGAGATGAGGTTTCATCATGTTGGTCAGGCTGTTCTCAAATGCCTGACCTCAAATGATCTGCCTGCCTAGGCTCCCAAAGTGCTGTGATTACAGGCATGAGCCACTGCCCCAAGATTCATTCTTAAGGGTTCTATGTCAAAAATTCCCCATGAAGCTTATTAACATATAAATTTATTGACCTTTATCTTATGATTCTGATTTGATAATTCTGAAATTTAGCTGTGTCCCCTCATATGCAAAGCTGTGCAAGAAATTTAAATGTACGCTCAGTGAACAAGAGTTATCAGAAAGCAGAAAAAAATTTTTATAAAATGAATTTTTTATTTCCAATTATGTAAGAAACTTTCATTAATATGTTTCACTCAATGTATAATAATATCATAACACAAGGCATTCATTTTGTACACTAAAGAAGAATAATACTTAGAGTAAGGAGAAAGGGACATTTGTACAGAATCCATGGAGTTTATAAATCAAATCCAGACTGAAAGCATATTAAATATGATACTCTGTCTCTCATTAAAAAATCGTATAAATTATATTAAGTGGAATAAAATTATTTTAATCTTATTCTGGTTAGCATTCAAAATATAAATTCATTGATAGTATTCATTTCATTCTTAGAGCAAAATTAAGAAATCATTAGAAAATTTTATTTTAAATATGATTGTTAGTTTAATTTTGATAACTTAGATGAAGAAAAGGATCTTTTAATCAAATTTCAGTTTTTCAAGATGAATTGATTGACTATACCCAACTATACCTGGAGGGCAGTGAAAGAAGACAAAGAATAAGAAAGTCAATTTTACTTCTCTCATCGTAATATTTTGCCTCATTCAAACTTATTTAACTTTTTTTAATTTTTTTTTCTAACTGCTGGAAACCATTTTTATTTCAAACTGTCTACCTGCTTAATCCCAGGCAGAATTGGTAAATAACATTTTTTTTTTCTAACTTAACCTCACAACTCAAAGGGTTTCAGTTTATTTTTTAATTCAAAGCTCCCTAAATTGTATCTTGTTGTAATTCTTATGATTGCTTACCAAACTGTAACTCGGCTACCTACCTTTTCTTTTTCCTACATTTTCTTTTACATAATGGCAGCTTATATTAACTCTCTCCTCATTTACCTGTACTGTTTAAAATTACATTGTTTTAAAGGAATAGCACAGATTTGTCATGAATCTCTGTAGAGCAGTCTTCACATCCTTATTCCTCAGGCTGTAGATCAAGGGATTCAGCATAGGAATTACCAACGTGTAAAACACAGAAGCCATCTTATCATCAGTATCCAATGAATGGTTACTTCGGGGCTGCACATACATGAATAGCAATGTCCCATAAAAAATTGTGACTGCCATCATATGTGAAGCACAGGTAGAAAAGGCTTTTTTCCTTCCTTCTGATGAACATATTTTTAAAATAGACAAAACAATATTGAAATAAGATACTAGAACTATAATCAAGGAACCAACCACATTTGTTGCTGCAGATATAAAGACAACTGTTTCTGGTAAGTAAGTATCAGAGCAAGATAATGCTAACAGAGGAACATTATCACAGTAAAAATGATTGATTATATTAGAAGAGCAATAAGACACAGAGAATACATAAGATGAAACCACAATAGCTGTAGAAAAGCCATAGAGGTATGTGAGGGAGACCAGCAGGAGGCAGAGCCGCCGAGACACCACCACCATGTACAGCAGAGGGTTACAAATAGCCACATAGCGGTCATAGGCCATCAAAGCCAGCATGATTACCTCCGATACAATAAAGAACAAGAACCCTCCCAGTTGGGTGGCACATTCATAGAATGAGGTAGTTTTCTTCTTTACTAAAAAGTTAATCAGCATTTTAGGGGCAATGACAGTAGAGTTACCAAGATTAATGAGAGCCAGATGTTGCAGGAAAAAGTACATGGGGGTTTGAAGTCGAGAGTCAACACTGGTGAGGGTGATGATGCCCAGGTTCCCTGCCATGGTCAGCCCATAGAGCACCAGAAAGACCAGGAAGAGGGGAATCTGGAGCTCTGGACAGCTAGAGACACCTGTAAGAATAAACTCAGTGACCCTGGTGAAATTTTCAGGAGCCATGTCAGAGTTTGGAAATTCATCTGTTTGGGGGAAAAGAGAGGTTAAAAACTTTAAAGAATTATTTGCAGGACTGCCCTTATATGGCTAGGACAATTCCCTGATAACATTTCTTTGAATTGTTTATTACTCTAACTCAGTTATTAAACTCAAGCTTCTAGGTCTAATAAGTAAACTTGGTAATTATTTCAGAGACAGAAAGATCAAGTATGGAAACGTATAGTAAATTAAATAGATGATCCAGCATCATGAAACATTTTGAGGATTTACTTCCTCACAGTCTTATTGAATTATGAGTACATTCTTAGTTTGCAAACATTTGAAGCCACAATTAATATTTTATATCATTTGCATTAGGCATGAGAAAGGCTTGAGGTCATTTTATGTCTGCAAATAATCCAATTTCTAAATTTGAGACTTCTTGCTTTTTCTTAGGAATGGGTGATTCTAGGTACTATCCTAACCCATTTTCTTTATTCATTTCATCCTTGTATAATGTGTATTATGCACATTTAACTCATACATTTTACCATCCATGTCTGTTTGCTTTTTCTCTCTTTTTTAAATTAACTCTGACTAAAATACATGGAGATATGCCCTCACATTTATTTTTCAGGTGACAATTTTTTTTAGCTTTCAATGTATAATATTGGTGAAAATTGTATTAGTTTTGTAATTTCTTGGCATTATGCTTTACTGGATACTACTTTCTGTTCCTTCTTTCTCATGTCTTTTTGTTGGTTCTGTTTCACAAGTTTGTACAGCTCCTCATAGTTTTCACTTTGTATTTTATGTTTAATCACAATTTTTATTTATATAATTAGATATTATTTTTACCACTTATAAAGTATATCTGCTCTTTCAGTTGATTTTTATTCATCTTTTTTATATTTTTATATTTTTATCACTGTAATGAGTAAATATTGTTATTTTATAGACTTTCTGTGATAACTACAATGCTCATATTTGACATAGAATTTAAATGCTATTTTAATATGGCTAAATATTTCCCTTGAGTTCTTTATATTTAGGATAATCTTCTACCCCTAACTAAGCCAACTGGAGTCTCTGCTACAATTTATAGTTCCCCTGTTGTGGACACCTGGCCCAAAGAAATCCTGTCATAGTCACTTATTTAAAAATGTGGAGTTAAGTTACAGAGAGTTAACACTATATCATTTAAAATGCCTGAATTTTAAAATCCCAGCGTTGTTTAAATTTTGTCTCCTTGTAAAAAAAAAGATACAATGAAAAGAAAAATAGAAAACTATCCTGCAGTGTGAAAAAAGAATGAAATGAACCAAAATAATTCCTAACATTGTTAATATCCGATCTCAGTTTGATTCTCAAACCAAACATCACACTTTTTCTTGTTTTTCAAAATAATCTTCTTATTTATTTATTTACCACCTGTTTATTGAATTCTTACTCTGGTAACGTGCAAACTTCACATAAACTAGTTATCCCTTGTTTTATGGACCTACTATTCCAATGAAAGGAAACATACAAAAATCTGGTAAAGAAATGTAGAAACAAGATTATTGCACATTTCAATAATAAATAAGGAAATTAAATATGAAGATACATTATGACAACTTGGGAGAATATTTTCACATGGTATGTTATGGGAAGGTCTTTTTTAATTTTAGCAGTTTCTTTTTAGTTTTAATTTCTTTTTCTTCAACTTTTATTTTAAGATGGGAAGCCCTTCTTGAGAAGGTGACATCTGTATTGAGACCTAAAGGATCTGAAAGAACCAGATGTTTAATGAATCATAGGAAGAACATTCAAGGATTCTAGTGGAGAATGTATATGCTGAAAATACTGGTATGAGGTAGAAAATAAGTTAAAGCATTTAGTTTTTGAGGGGGTAGGGGGTCTTAATGGAGGACAGTGTGAATAGATTATAATAAGGAAGAATTAGGTCACAGTGATTATTTGAATTTTATTTATTTCTTAATTTTTTTTAGTTGCTGTTCATAAGTTTATTGTCTTTATCTGAAAAATCCTCATAGAAAATTGTTTGGTTTAGCTTTCAGCATCCTGCTCCTGAGCTCTGAGGAAGCTTGCCTTCTTTCGAGCTACCCAATCTTTCTTCTGAGCAAGGGACATTCTGGGATGGTTCTGCCTCTTCTTCATAACTTCTGTCTTGGGCTTCTTTTCATAAACTGGATTTTCTCCTATAGCAGCATGAGCTTTCTTATACGTCTCCTCCATCATGTCTGGAGTTATGCTGTTCTTTATATATTGAGAGAACTGTTTCTTGTAAGCATCTTCATCTTCTTCCATTAAGTAGCGCTAGCAACTAAGCTGCAACATTCTGGCCCATGATGTCCTTCCGGTGTACTTCTGCATTAAATCCCTTGCTTTCAGAATCATAATCAGGGAATTGTTTGGTACTGTGAGGGATAGACAAGCCTCCAACCGCAGCTTCCTTCAGGGTGCCAAAAACTTTATTGCCAGTGGTAGTTCTGGCAAGGCCTGCACCCAAATAGCAGGTAAAGGCACCTGGCTGACCATCAATGCTTTCCACATTGTATTCATCACTAGTCGCCTCCACTTGGCCTTCATAGATCTTGTCCATGCCAAACCTATTGAGAAGCCTGCAGGCCAGCAGCAGGCAAGTACAATAGGCTGCAGCATAATTTGTCAGGCCAACCTTCACACCATATTTTGGCAGTTCGTGTGCATGTGCCGCGCGGACTATCACATTCCCCTCTATACAGCCATAAGCAATCTGACAAATGATATATCTGTTTATTACATGAACTATCATCCAGTATTTGGGTGTGTTGTATTTATTTTTATCCTGTATCACCAAGCGTTTCCGAGCATAGTAATCAGTTTTACCCTCTCGTCGTCTTCTAAATTTCACTTGGTATATCTCTTAAAGTAGGCCTTACTCTTAACAACTTTAACAAACTCCGTCCTGCTGAAGAGAGGCCCGCATCCACGGCTTGACAGAGACCTGCAGGCCTTGAATTGTAAGCCATGACAAAATTTTAAGATAGGTGAAAAACATTATTGGCTTTAAGTTTTAAAAAGATTACTCTTGTTGTAAAGATAATGAATTATAGGATTGAAAAAGCTCGAGGCAGGGCAGGAATGGAAATTTTAAAATAACCACAAAAAATGAGTTTAGAGGTTGATATGGGATTTCTGGTATAAGATAACGTGGGCTTCAGCTAAAATGGAGACACTCAATATCAAAACATGGTAACATTGACAGGAGCAGAAACAAGATGATCTCCTCAATGTAATTTATATAATAAGTTATATAACTTATATATGAGAGAATGACAGATGGGGGATTTATTTTGACTGGGGTAACTAACAGCTGTGCCATTTTTGAATATGAGACAATATGTTTTAAGATGGAGTAAGCAAAGTGATATTTTGAACATATTAAGCTTTATGTGCTTATGAAACATTTAAATAATAATTTAAGCAAGCTAATATTTAAGTCTGGAGGATATTGATGTGGTTAGGCTTGAGAAACATCAATCTAGATAATGATAAAGTATTTTTTTCATATGTCAAGATTTTATAAAAATTTATAATCAAAATTCCTAACTTGTTCTTCATTCAGTTTGCATCATTTCCCACTGAAGATCAATCCTATTTTTGAGACTCTAGTTTTCCTTTTATTTCCAAACACTACGTAACAGGTAGTTGTGCTTCTGTGTCCCCTCCCATGCCCTTTTCTTACCTTGCCTTCCCTGGGTTTCCAATTTTAATATTCTGTCTGTAGCTTTCAGTCTATTTGTTATCCCCCTTAGCAAACATGCCAACTATCAGCCAATATAAATGCTTACAGATTGTATCAGATACTCTGTTTCTGCTGAAACCTGGTGCTGTACTGGCTTTATGATTTATTTGAAAATTCAATAATTAATTATTAAAAAGTGATTTTTAATCACAAAAGTCATATTCATCCTATGATTTTCTCTTTTAAATCTCAAGATTGCACTATTTGCTAATTTCTATGAATACTTTCCCATCCTATGCACCTCCCTCTTCTACTTCCTTAGAGCAAGCCTTCTATAACACTTTCATTAATTATTGTATCCTTCTTGGTTCACCATGTTATGATTCTTTATGGTTGTACTGGCAAGAATGCCAGTCATTAAGGATTTTTGTGCAATTAGGTTGTGTTATCCAAGGTATTCATTAGAATAATTGAAATATGCTTTTACCTCATTTATCATCAGATTCACATGACTTTTCTGGTCATTCACCCTACAAAACATGCCTTTAAGGCATATTTTTATTTCTGACCTTCCATGTCTTCACTGTTATTGATTCTTCTGAGATTGCTTTGTTTTTAGTGAGAGGTAGAATCTTCTCTGCAAAGTTTGTCCACCATTTGTAGCAGTGGCTCCATACATTTAAAAACCAGAAATGAGGGTAGCATCAAATGAGGCTAATTAACTTTAATTTTGTAGTATTTAAAAATGTCATTTCTGATTACTCTCTAGGCATGTTCAATCTTTTCAAAAATGCAAATGAATTGAGAGCGTAGAAAGATAGATGAGCTTTTGTTTGTTTGTTTTTTTGAGATGGAGTCTCACTCTGTCACCCAGGCAGGTTGGAGTTTTTTGTTTGTTTGTTTGTTTGTTTTTGAGACTGAGTCTCCCTGTTTCACCCAGGCTGGAGTGCAATGGCACGGTCTCGGCTCACTGCAACCTCCGCCTCCTGGGTTCAAGTGATTCTCCTGCCTCAGCCTCCCTAGTAGCTGGGATTACAGGCGGGCGCCACCATATCCAGCTAATTTTTGTATTTTTAGTAGAGACGGGGTGTTGACCAGGTTGGTCTCAAATTCCTGACCTCAGGTAATGCACCCGCCTCGGCCTCCCAAAGTGCTGGGATTACAGTAGTAAGCCAGCATGCCTGGTCCTTGATGAGTTGTCTTTAAATTAGCACAGTGTTTTACGGCTAATGGGTAACAAAAATAGACTTTAATTTAAATATATATATATATATTTATTCCCTATTACTAGTTTTAGTCAACAATAATAGCCTTTTAAAAAGTGTGTTTTTGAAATACTTTCATTGTACTTAGGGTTTTCTTTTGTTATACAATCTGAGGGAGAATGAAAAGAAAGTAAACTTACTTTTGAACATGCTATTTTAGGTTAGTTGAACTAAGAGCAACCCAGGCAATGAGTTTTTTTCTATATTCCTCTTGATAATGTTATAGAGATTTTGTCCCATTACACCAGGAATCTAGGGTTGGATAGTGTATCTTAAAGTCTTGCTCCTGCTTTTGGAAATGTCTTCCTGCAAATTGAAGTCCTTTGTTTTGATGTCTAATGGAAGTTCTTCTTTGCTATTTCTTCTGAAGTAAAATGCTAACAGATTTATTTTATGATAAGATAGATGATTTAACTAAACACTTTCCATTATTGCAGTGGATTACATATTATGCTTCTATATATATTTGCTTGTACATTACCACATTGAATGGATAATTTTTCTGAGAATACTTGCATTCTAAACTTGTATTCTCAAAAAGGGGCATCATTTTGACTTTGGGTAGATGTCTATCCAGTTTTCTCTCATAGGCTATCCTGTACAATATACAATTTTTATTGTAAATAATATTGCAATAATACAACCATGATATAAACAGTCTCTATGAGCAGCAATTCCTAGTTTCAGTAGTGACATAATTTTTTAAGTACATGAGACATAATGATGCCATTTCTATTTTGGAGACATAAATAGCTTGATCATATTTGATGCCCTCTATTCCTAAAAACAGTTATAAATCTGAAAAACAAACTTATTTATCTTATCATATTTCTGTATAATGAGCTTTAAAAGATCCAAAACCATACCTTGGCTCATTTTAAGTATGGTTTTGATCTTTAAAAGGTCATTATGGTCATTATACAAAAATAAGGTAAGTCTTTTCCACCCACCTCTAGAGGAGAATCTGCTTCAGGTTCTTAGAGTCTATACATGACTGGCAGTGAGAGTTGGTGGGGCTTTAAAAGCCTTTGAGACCTTAACTCTGAAGCACAGGTGACTCTAGTATCTACACATTGCCTTTCATGTCTTTGGGGAAGGTGCCTCCTGGGACCGGTTTCTTAACAAGGTCTCCCTCTAGAAAGTCAATCAGACACCCCATGAGTCTTTCTGGTAGTCTGTGTTTATTTTGTATTATTGAAGTGAGTTCAAGTTCATTACAGCTAAGGGACATGGGGGTTAAACTGCATCTTTTAAAGTAATTCACTTCCATTCGGAGATTCATTATTGCAAGATGAGATATGTAAGAGCTAGAAGCTGATGGTATCACAGCTTTACAAAACCTGTTATCTATAAATAATATATTTATTATGTCACTATCTGTGTTGTCTCCCTTTAACTCTTATTTCAAAGTATAAAACATAAATTCCCTGATGAACAAAGGCATTTTTTGAAACACTAAACATTTAGCATGTATGCATTTTTATCCATGTAATGACTAATGGAATTGTTTAGAAAGGAATATGCCTTGGGGAAATTATCATATTTAGGAATTAAGTCCCCTTTGTAGATCCAAAGATCTGCTTCTACAGGCCTTAAATTAAAGCAGAAAATGGAGTTATACAGCATGATGACATTTATGTACAGTATAAATCCATGACATAGAAAACTATTGTATGCTTTGTAAGAGCACAAGAAAACAAACAGATTTACATTGAGTTATTTTGTGGCAGTTTCCCGATGGTGGTGGTTGGGACTGGGTAAAGAAATTAAGATGAAAGGTACACTGAAGACTATCATAACAAAATACCACAGACTGAGTGGCTTAAACAGTGGAAATTTGTTTTCTCACAGTACTGAAGGATAGAAGTTCAAGCTCAAGGTCTCAGCAGGTTTGGTTTTTTCTGGGGCCCTCACCTGGGCTTGCAGAGGGCCACCTTTTCACTGTGTCCTCACATAGTTGTCCCTCAGTCTGTTTATGTGCCTGGTATATCTCCTTCTCTCTGTCCTAATCTCTCTTCTTATCAGGATGCCAGTTGTATTGAATTAGGACCCAGCTAAATGACCCTAATTAAATTAATTGCCTTTTTAAAGGCTCTGTGTCCAAATACAGTCACATTCTGAGGCACTAGTGATTAAGGCTTTAACGTATGAATTTTGAGATAGACCATCCAGTCCATAACAAGAAAGAATAAAACATGAATAAGAAAGAGGTTTTGCTGGCTGAATAATGAAAATTTGTCATGAACAGAGGAACATAATTATTCTAAACCTCTTATGTTAGGCCCAAAACAGCTGAAAAGATGGAATCTTCATTGGGAGGAAAACCCGCTTCTGGAAATCTGTTCTACAGAAGTAATATGAGTTACTTAAATATATAAATAAAGTCTTCATAAGATTATTTTTTCAGTGAGATAAAATACTGAAAACTACACAGTTTAGAAATTTGTTAAGTAAACTCTGGGATATGTTTAGTATATAATCATATATTCTTTACAAATTTTATTTATGTAAATTATATAGAAATTTGAGGAAAGCTTCTGAGAGGCTTAATACTAAAGATAGTATTAAAAGGGTAATGTTTTACTTTATGGTCACACTTTTATGTGGAATCTAAAACAATCAAACTCATAGAAGCAGACAGTAGAAGTGGTTGCTGGGGATGAGGAGTAGCAGCCACTTGGAGATGTTGATCAAAGAGTATAAAGTGTAAGTTATGTAATGTAGTATGTTAAATGTAAGTGTGTAATGTAAATTATGTAAGTTAAGTGTAAAATGTAAATTATGGAGGATAAATAAGTTCTGGAGATCTAATGTCCAGCATGGTGATTGTAGTTAACAAGACTGTATTGTGTACTTGAAAATTGCTGACACAGTAGGTCTTAAATGTTCTTACCACACACACAAAACTTAACTACATGAGATAATAGATATGTAAATTAGCTTCATCTTGGTAATAATTTCATAATATATATGTTTATGAAAACATCACGATGCCAAGTGCAGTGGCTCACGCCTGTAATCTCAGCACTTTGGGAGCCTGAGGCAGGAGGATGGCTTGAGCCCAGGAGTTCAAGACTAGCCTGGTCAACATAGCAAGACGCCCATGTCTACAATAAATAAATAAATAAATAAATAAATAAATAAATAAATAAATAAATAAAACAAAATAAAAAATTGTCATGTTGTACACCTTACATATATACAATTTGTTGTGCCTATTATAACTCAATAAACTTAGAAAAATAAATAAAAGGGCCATATTATATTGGTTTATGTTAAAAGTTCAATAATTTACATACAATAAAATGCCAACTATATAGAGTTAACATTTAAATAATGTATTTTAATAATCCCGAAATGTTCCCCAATGTCTCTTTGCAGTAAATTCCTCCATATTATATCTCAGGATACAATTGTTATTATTTTTTTAATATATGTACACAGTTTTATATACAACGCAGCATCAAATATGGGGCATTTTCTCCTATTTTACACACTCAGATATGTTTAAAACACTTCTTAAGGCTACAAAACAGAACATAGAAAAACAAATAAGAATACATTCAACACTTACAAAAAGTGATATGATAAAGAATATAAAGTACTAGTTTTCTTTCAACACTTCAAACTATGTATATATACTATTTTTTTACAAATAACATCACAAATGATCACATATTCACATGATTTACATATTATTTATACTCATTTTGAGGCTATTATTATTTTTGATACATAAAATTTTTGTAGCTCTGAAACAATGCAAAATTTTTAATCCATTTCAGTAAGTTCCACCCAAAGTTGCTGCTTCCCAGCATTAAGACATGCAACCACCCCTCTTCTAAGATTTTCTAAAGCTTGTATGTCAGGGCAAAAGACCTCTTTTAAAAAGTAATCCCAATTAGTGGGAGAGTAAATGGCTGACATTGGTAGCAAAACCTTAGTTCATTGGAATTCACATGCTCGAAATTGCTATGGTTTTTATCACCATATATTAGTTTACCTGTTCTAGAACTTCATGTTAAAGGAATAATATTGTAGGTTGTGTCTGGTTAATGCTATTGAAATTCATCTGTGCTCCTGTATATAGCAATAGCTCATTCCGTTTTATTGCTGAGTAGTATTCTATTTTAGGAATATAGCACAATGTACATTTTTGTTTACAAACAGTTGAAATATTTCCATTTTATACTATTTTGAATAGAGCTATCAATAACACGAATGTACACATTTTTTAGACATGTTTTCATTCCCCTTTGATAAACATCCAGAAGGTGAACTCTGGAAACATGTGGTAGTAATGCATTTAACCTTATTTATAAACCACCACACTGTTCTCCAAAGTGAAGAACCATTGTACATGGTAATCAGCAAGTAAGATAATTTCAGGAGCTAATACTCTTGATCAAGTTGACACTCACTCCTTAGTAATGAAATATTTTAAATTTTACTCAAACTAGTTAATGGAAAATAGTATCCCATTGTTACTGTAATTCCATTTCCTCGATAGCTGAGGATGTTGGGCTTCTTTATCATGTGCATATTGACCATTAATACTTACTATATGAAATATATTTTATCCTATTTTTGTTTGATTGCCTTTTAGTTACAGCCTTGTAGGTGATATTTATATGTGTCTAAGGTCCCATATAAATTAAGTGGGCTTTTTCGTAGATAATCAATCAAACATCCATATGTACATGTGTTTTGGGCTCTATTCTGTACCATGAATCTATTTATCTATGTTTATAAAGTGCTGCATTATCTCCAGTACTGGAGGTTTATAGGAGGCCATGGAGTAGCTATTGTGAGTGCTCTAACTTTGTTGTTTCTCAAGATTATTTTGGCTATCCTGAATTTTTTCTGTGTCATATAGAAGCAGATCTAAAGCCGGATATGGGGAACCTTACTTTTATGCCATGAGGGTAGGTCTACACCTGTCCACTCTTAAAACAGTCACCTTTGGTGGTAGTTATTAAAATTACTTACTTACTGAAATGGATTAAAAATTTTGCATTGTTTCAGAGCTACAAAAATTTTATGTATCAAAAATGATAATAGCCTCAAATTGAGTATAAATAATATTTAAAAGCATGTGAATATGTGATCATTTGTGATGTTATTTGTAAAAAAAGTATATATACGTATGTTTGAAGTGTTGAAAGAAAACTAGTACTTTATATTCTTTATCATATCACTTTTTGTAAGTGTTGAAGATATTCTTATTTGTTTTTCTATGTTCTGTTTTGTAGCCTTAAGAAGTGTTTTAAACATATCTGAGTGTGTAAAATAGGAGAAAATGCCCCATATTTGATGCTGCATTATATATAAAACTGTGTACATATATTAAAAAAATAATAATTGTATGTATCCTGAGATACAATCCAGTCATTAGGACCTTTCAACTCTTGTCATGTAAACATTAGTAAGTACAGATATATTAAAATATCCTTGGTAAAAGCTTTTGGTGTACCAAGTCATTAATTAGACATGGAATGATAATAAATCAAATAAAGCTCAAGGTTTTAACTCTGGGAAGAAGTTTGAGAATGTATAAATACTAAAGGAATTTTATATAGGTTGGCAGCATTATTTTTCAACTACTCATGATTATAATTGTAAGCAGAATGTGTGTTTTGTGGTTATTAGGGAAAACAACGGTGTCCAACTAAGTCTGGAATATTATAAACTTTTTGTAGAAAAGAATGTAATGTTTGAAAACCATCTATATTTTATCTATGACATCAAATAGCTGATTTTAGACACCTATTATTGTCATTCTGCATTTTTTAATCACACAATTATATTAGTAAATGTTAGTATTCATAAAAATGTTAGTACTTCATTCTTAAAACGTTAGTATTTCATTAAAAAAATGAACAAAAGAGGAAACACCACTTAGAAAAAAATAACATTGCATGGCATTTATTCTCATTAAAATATTTTAAAATTATAATTTATGTATGCAAAATATTTACCCAACAACACATTATTAGAATGTGGAATAACCATATACATTTATTTGAGAAATAGAAATTACCAGTACTTTATTTTATAATCATAAAATATTTATTACAGCATATGTTTTAGGTGGCAGTTTAAATAACTTAAACTGTCAACAACCAAAGTTCATCAATCAAGGAATGGCTAAGTACAACGTGATTTGTCTATTTTCCAGAGTTGTATGCTGATATTAAAAATTTTTTAAAAAGAATTTTTATTGGTCAAGAAAAATTCTGCTGATGAATTCTAAAGTAAAAAAAAAATTGCAGGGAACATAATATAGCATGATTTTTTAAAAGCCCTTCTTGTGTGGATGGTATTACAGAATGCTATTAATATTATTTAATTTTAGTTGTGGATTATAGAAAGGGATAGAAATTGTAGAATTTGGGAAGGGAAAATATACAAAACCAAAGAGTTATATTTGTGCATTATAATATAAAATTCTACTATGAGGCCGGGCACAGTTGTTCACACCTGTAATCTCAACACTTTGGGAGGCCAAGGTGGGTGGATTGCCTGAGCTAAGGAGTTCACAACCAGCCTGGGCAACACGGTGAAACTTGGTCTCTACTAAAATACAAAAAATTAGCTGGGCGTGGCAGTGTGCACCTGTAGTCCCAGCTACTCGGGAGGATGAGGCAGGAGAATAGCTTGAACCCGGGAGGCGGAGGTTGCAGTGAGCTGAGATCGCACCACTGCACTCCAGCCTGCTCTACAGAGCGAGACTTAGTCTCAAAAAATAAAAATGTTACAGTGGAAATGTAAAATTGATTCCTAAAAATCAATATGGTTATGAGCAGGATCAGATGTTATCAAAATCAGAAGTAAACAAATTTGATATGATTGGGTAATGCAATTTTGTATTACTGTTATTATGTTCAGTTTATGTTTAGATGAAGTAAAATACATCATAAGTGAAAGAAGAGGAAAAAATGAAAGAAATGGATCTGGATAAAGACACTTTGGTTCATTTTCTGATTCAATTCCTCACAATTTTTACTTTGAACACTAGATTAAATTGGAACAGACACAATTAGAAAAGTGTATATATTTTTAAAATCGAAAAAAATAGAGGCCCGTCGAAACAATGGAAGAATACCAAGATGTAAGGAATTTATTTGCTGAGTGAGAGTACACAATGTAGATGCAGCATTATGGTAGAATACATTCCATGCCACTGTGTAGACAGGCTCATGAAGGAGACAAAGAAGACAGGAATGAAGATGAAACTAACCCTCGAGTGTGTAAGTTTTTTTAATCTGTGTTATTATCTCCATACATTTTTCAAAATTCTATATTGCTACCATTACAGTAGATGACGAGATAACTTATTTATCTTCAGGTTGCCAATTCTAAATCAGCTTATCAGGAAGTTCTCATAAACCAGTGTTTGCAATAGTGCTAGAATCTGTCAAGGAGGATCTAGAATAATCCAATATTTTTCTCATCATTCCTAATCAAAAACCTACTTTATCCCTAAGATATACAATACTAACTTCATCTGATTGAAAAACCTCATTCTGAGATAGCATACTTTATTGTGTTCTTAGCTTTAATGTTTACACAGCCTTTTCTTTTCTTTCTTTTCTTTTTTTTTTTTTTTTGAGATGGAGTCAGGCTCTGTCGCCCAGGCTGGAGAGTGCAGTGGCGTGATCTCAGCTCACTGCAACCTCCGCCTCCCGGGTTCAAGCAATTCTCCTGTCTCAGTCTCCCGAATAGCTGGGACTATAGGTGAATGCTACTGTGCCTGGCTAATTTTTGTATTTTCAGTAGAGACGGGGTTTCACCAAGTTGGTCAGGCTAAATAAACAGCCTTTTCATGTTATGTTATAATCACATATTTACTTACTTTCTTGCTTCCTATCTAGCCTACATGTTCTCTATGGTTCAATCTTATTTACATTTAATACCTAGTGCCTGCTGGGAAATATCTATTACTAATTTTCCGGTTATTTTTACTCTGTTTGAACTATATAAGCTTTTCATTTTAACTCTGCAACTCTAAGTTTGACATAATTTGCCTTATTTATAAATAGTAGCGGTTCCAGTATGATTTCGAAAATTGCTTAGGACATATATTACCTGAATATAGTATTTATTTATTCCATTGAGGTGGCAAAGAGTACAGGTTGCTCTAAGAGGACATGTTTTGTCCAGAAAAAGAGGAAAATCTAAGCAGATAGAGTATTTCTACTTTTTTTATGTTATAATTGGTTTGACAGAGTACTAAACAGATTATTGTACCCAACTATGCAACTGAGTATTAAGATATTAAATGGGAATTTTGAATCGATTGGTTAAAGTTCTCTTTAGAGCATCTTTTACTTCTTTGTTCCTTAGGCTGTAGATCAACGGATTCAGCATAGGAATCAACAGGGTATAAAACACTGAGGCCATTTTATCAATAGCCAAAGTATGACTGGACTTGGGTTGCAAGTAAATAAATAACAATGTCCCATAGAACATGATCACCACTGTCAGATGAGAGCTACAGGTGGAGAAGGCTTTGTACCTCCCTTTCCTTGAGTTCATTCTGAGAATGGCCACTAGAATAAACATGTAGGATATGAGAACAATTGAGAGGGAGAAGAGCAAATTACAGCCTGAGAAGATCAAAATTATTAATTCTAATTCATTTGTGTCAGAACAGAGTATGGACATCAGAGGGATACAGTCACAGTAAAAATAGCTGATTATGTTTGAGCCACAGAAGGACAGTTTAAATAACTTAATTGTGAGAAATAGTGACACAAACGTGCTATAGAGATAGGGAACAATTACCAGCACCCAAAGTACTTTCTCTGCCATGATGATCACGTACAGAAGAGGTTTACAGATGGCTACGTAGCGATCATAGGCCATTGCTGATAGAATAAAGAGCTCAGAGATGATGAAAATCTCAAAGAATGCTAGCTGAGTGGCATACCAATTGTAAGAAATTGTGTTTTTGTGCACTATGAAGTTTACTAACATCTTCGGGGCAATGACAGTGGAGTAACCAAGATCAGTGATTGACAAATGTCTAAGGAAAAAGTACATGGGGGTGTGTAGCTTGGAGTCCAAGTAGGTCAAGATAACCATGCCCAGATTGCCTATCACTGTGACCAGATATATGATGAGGAAGAGTCCAAACAGTGGAGCCTGCAGCCCAGGGTTGTCTGTAATCCCCATGAGAATAAATTCAGTCACCTTGGTCACTGCCGTGTGATTGTGTTTTACCACATGATTCATCTTGGTAACTGTGCAAACTAGAAAATCAATATTTATTATATTTGAAACATTATCTTCTAAGAAAATTAACAATTTGATGTATGAGCAATAGAGGTATTTCCTTTATTTCAAATTCTAAATAGAGTCTCCTCTTCCCATCAGGTCAAAACCACACAAAGCTACAGTCACATTCATTAAAACTGTGGTAAAGTATAATTAAAAGGGGCAAGATATTTTGAAGTTGTTGTTTTGATGTAGCTACTATGACCTACTTTTTGGACCCAGAGTCATTTTAATTATGTAAAAATAGCTACCACTTTTGTTTCTGCTTACCACAATTTTCAGGTAATTTGTAAAACAAACATCTATACATTAAACTTTACATTTTTGCTGATCATTGAAAGAAGCAAGACAAGATTTTCAAAACTATAGATGGAGTAATGAATAGGGCAGTAGGAAATCTCTGATCATTATATACATGTCAATACTTCTGTCTATAAATTCAACTTGTTTACCAAAAACAAAATTTTATGCCATAATTTGAGAATTTTGTTAATAATATCTTAATCTGCATTTGAACTTTTTGCCTATTGAATTGCTGCTTCTAGTGAGCAATTGGGGGGATGTATAATCCCCCAATTATACATCCTTCTGCAGGAAAAAAAAAATCTGGCTGTTCTTACAATTCATGAACATTTAAGAGAGAATCATAAAAAAGGGCTCAGTGGATAGAGAAACACAAATGAATATCAAGAACCTAAGCAAATCCATAGCATGCTAGGCAATTTTGCAAGTGCTTTACACATATTAACTCATATGATCTACACAATAACTTTAGGAAGTAGGCAGTAATATCATCCCCATTTAAAAGAAAAAGAAACTGAGGCACAAAGAGTTGGATAATTTAACAAAGATCTTTCACATTATAAGTTGTAGTGTAAGGATTCAAGTAAAGCCATTCTGCCTTCAGAATATGTTCTCATAAACACTCTAACACACCACTTCTCCATTAGGGATACCCTTCATTGTTAGGAAGTGAGAATGAGACAGGAAAGACACAAGGTAAATAATGATAAAGATCTTTGTTAAAATAGATGACTGAAGCATGAAGTAATTTGAAAGCTAAGGTGGCATAAATAATGACCAGCCTCGAGTATTGGAGACTGTATAACAGGTCTGTCTGCACATCTGTCCTATTGATGACAGAACAGTATATTGCAAGGGAGGCAACAGTTTTGCAGAGAATGGGACCCTTCCAGATTTTTGGTGACAACCTGCTTTAAGGATGTACCCTTAGAAATTTTCTAAGACCAATGTTTCCGCTTACCTCAATGGAGAATTTGCTTTGCTTTCTACTGCTTTAGGCCTCATAGGTGGCTACCGAATGGATTTAAATTTTTTCTCCTCCCTTGAGACTCATTGTGTTGAAATGTTAATCTGACCCAAGGTTAAACAAATTCTACGTAATTACCTGAGGGAAAGTGCCTTGAATATCTGTTGATTATTCTCCGAATGTTCCATTAAGAAAAAGTCGTAAATACTTATGCCTTTGTCTAACTGAAAAAATAAATTATGCAATATCACTAAAGACTGGAAATCACAAATGCCATTTTCAGCATTGCATGCAAATATTACATATATAATCCCCAACAAGTCACAAGTAAGTGAAATAATGACTTTCTTGAAAAAAGTTATATAATATTTGATAATACATCCATTGACCACATATATTTTGTTGAATATATGATTATAAACTGACATAAAACAATTTCTTATAAACTATATTAAGCTGAGAGAAGATAATATTTTATTAATTGTATTGTTTATGTCAAGAAATCAGTGGCAAATAATTTCTTCATTTGTTTATGATGTATCATTTATCTCTGGCTGTTTTTAAGAATTTTTCTTTGTTATTGGTTTTCAGAAATTTGACTATAATGCATTTTAGCATAATTTCCTTTCAATTTACCCTACTTGGAATTATTTTAGCTTTTTGTATGTCTAGGATTTTGGTTTTTTTTAAATACATTTAGAAGAAAATTCTGGCCAATATTTTTTACTGTGTATTTTCTGCACTATATAATCTCTTCTTTACACTTAGACTTAAAATTAAACATGACTTAAATAACTTGTTATTGTTCTACAAATCACTAAGACTATTTTCATGGTTTTCGTTCAGTATATTTTTACTCTGGCTTTATTTTCAGTAGTCTTCATTGTTGACTGTTTAAGTCATCTTTTGTTCAGTTCATAATCTGCCATTGTTCTCACTCAATATATATTTTTTATATCCAATACTGTATATTTATGTCTAGAAGCCCCATATCTGTTGTTTCATAAATCTTCATTTTTTTCTCACTATGTTAATGTTTTTGTTAAATCATTTAGTTTACTAAACATATTTATAACAGTTGTCTTAAAGCCCTTGCTTGCTAATTCTATCATTATACCTTTTCAATATCTACTTGAATTATCTCCAAGATAGGGCCACATATTCCTGCTTTCTCAAATGCCTAGTATTTGTGATTGGATGCTGAATATTGTGAATTTTGTGTTAATCAGTGCTGTATATTTTTGCATTGTTTTTTGAAAGAATATTAAATGTTTTAAACAAAGATTTAAGCCCTCAGAAGCATTTGGAGTAACATTTGCCTCTGAAATCTCTAGTGGGTGCCCAGTTGTTGATCAAGGATGATACGTTCCAGCTTTTTTGTAACTAGAATGTCTTCCTTCTCAGTGTGATACCTATGAATTGTTCAGCTTAAAATTCTTAGGTCATTCTTTGAAAAGCCTTATGGACATTTGATATAGCCATGCATAATTTAGAGTTCAAACACAAACTCAAAGAGAACTTGAAATGGAGGAAAGGATGAAAAATAATAACAAAAATATTACATCTAAGAAAAAAATGGCAATAAGTAGAAAGTATGTCTTCCAACATCTGTAATTACTTTTTTTTTTTAACTTTCAAGTTTTATTTTAGATACAGAGATACATGTGCAGGATTGATACATGGGTATATTGCATGATGCTGGGGTTTGGGGTATGGGTCCCTTCACTCACATAAGCAAGCATAGTACTCAATAAGTAGTTTTTCAACAGACACCCTTGTCCCCCTTCTTGTAGTCCACAGTGCCTATCTTTCCTATGTTTATGTTTAAGCTCCCACTTAAAAGTGAGAACACGTAGTATTTTGTTTTCTGATTCTGTTTTAATTATGGCCTCTAGCTGCATCATGTTGTGGCAAAGAACATGATTTTGTTCTTTTTTATGGCTGCATAGTACTCCAGGGTGTATATGTACCTTATTTTCTTTATCCAATCCACCATTGATGGGAACGTATGTTGATTTCATGCCTTTGCTATTGTGAATAGTGTGATGATGAACATACTTGTGCACGTGTCTTTTTGGTGGAATGATTCATTTTCCTTTTGAATGTATAGCTGGTAATGGAATTGCTGGGTCAAATGGTAGCTCTGTTTTAAGTTTTTGGGAAATCTCCAAACTGCTTTCCACAGTGGCTGAAATAATTTACATTCCCATCAGCAGTGTATAAGCATTTTCTTTTCTTGGCAGACTTGCCAGCCTCTGTTTTTTTGTTTTGTTTTGTTTTGTTTTTTAGTAATGGCCATTCTTACTGGTGTCAGATGGTATCTTGTTGTGATTTTGATTGGCATTTCTGATGATTAGTAATGATTAGCATTTTTTATCTGTTTGTTGGCCACTTGTATGTCTTCTTTTGAAAAGTGCCTGTTCATGTCCTTGGCCCATTTTTTAATGGGGTTGTTTTTTGATTGATGGTTGGTTTAAGTTCTTTATAGAGTCTGTGTATTAAACCTTCATCAGATGCAGTTTATGAATATTTTCTCCAATTCTGAAGATTGTCTGTTTATACTGTTGACAGTTTATTTTGCTGTGCACAAGCAATTTAGTTTAATTAGGTCTCACTTGTCAAATTTTTGTTTTTGTTGCAATTGCTTTTGCAGACTTATCCAAAAATTAATTTCCAAGGCTGAGGTCAAAAGGTTATTTCCCAGGTTATCTTCCAGGATTTTTATAGTATGAAATTTTACATTTAAATCTTTCATCCCTCTTGAGTTAATTTTTGCATATGGTGAAAAGTAGTGAGTACAGTTTCAATATTCTGCATATGGTTAGCCAGTTATCCCAGAACTATTTATTGAATAGTGAGTCCTTTCCTCATCTTTTTTTTTTTTTTTGGTCAGCCTTGTCAAAGATCACATGGTTGTAGTTGTATGGCTTTATTTCTGAGTTTTCTCTTTTGTTCCAGTGATCTGTGTGTGTGACAGTATCATGCTTTTTTAGATTACTGTAGCCTTACATTATAGTTTGAAGTTCAGTTGAGTGATCTTTGTTCTTTTTGCTTAGGATTGCTTTGTGTATTTTGGCTCTTTTTTGACTTCATATGAATTTTAGATTTTTTTTTGAATATTTTGTTCTAATTCTATGAAGAATGATGTTAGTATTTTGATATGAGTAGCATTGAATCCATAAATTACTTTGACAATATGGTCACTTTAACAATATTGATTCTTCCTGTCCATGAGCTTGCAATGTATTTCCATTTGTTTGTGTCGTCTCTGATTCGTTTCATGAGTGTTTTGTAGTTCTCTTTGTAGAGTTCTTTTACCTCCTTCATTAGCTGATTCCTTGGTATTTTTTTCTTTGTGGATACTGTAAATGGGATTGTGTTCTTGATTTGACTCTTAGCTTGGACATTTAGGAGGCTTTTGGTGGAAGCTTTAGGGTTTTCTACATACAGAATCATATAATCAGTGAAAAGAGATAGTTTGACTTTTTCTATTTCTACTTTTATGCCTTTTTTTTTGTTGGTGTTCTTGCCTGGTTACTCCAGCTAGAACTTCTAGTGCTATGTTAAATTGGTGTGGTTAGAGTGGGCATCCCTGTTTTATTCCAGTTCTCAGGGGAAATGGTTCCAGCTTTTGCTTTTTCAGTATGATGTGGCTGTGGGTTTATCACAGATGGCTTTTATTATTTTCGGGTACATTCCTTCAATGCCTAGTCTGTTGAGGGTTTTTATCCTGAAGGGATATTGGATTTTATAAAAGGCATTTTCTACATATATTGAGATGATTGTATGTTTTTGTTTTTAATTCTGGTTGTGTGTTGAATCATATATATTGATTTGCATGTGTTGAAATAGCCTTGCATCCCAGGAGTAACGCCTACTTGATTATGAGGTTTTAACTTTTTGATATGCTGCTAGATTCAATTTGCTAATATTTTTTGAGGATTTTTGCATCTATACTAATCAAGAATATTGGACTGAAGTTTTCTTTTTTTGCTGTGTCTCTGCCAGATTTTGGCATCAGGAAGATGCTGCATTCATAGAATGAGTTAAGGAGGAGTCTCTCCTCCTCAATTTTTTGTATTATTTTCAGTTGAATTGGTACCAGATCTTTGTACACCTGGTAGGATTAGGCTGTGAATTCATCTAATCCAGGGCTTTTTTTTTTTTTTTTTTTGGTTGGCAGGTTTTTTTTTTTTTTATTACTGATTCAGTTTTAGAACTAAAAATTTGTCTAGTCAGGGTTTTAATATAGTCCTAATTCAACCTTGGGATATTGTGTGTTTCCAGGAATTTATTCATTTCATCTAGATTTTCTAATTTGTGTGCATTGAGTTCATAGTTTTCTCTGAGGATGTTTTGTATTTTATGGGAACAATGTAATATCAAATTTTTATCTCTGATCTAGCTAATGGTCTATCAATCTTGTTTAATTTTTCAAAGAATCAACACTTGGTTTAATTGATCTTTTGTGTAAATTTTTGTGTCTCAACTTTGTTCAGTTCTACTCTACATTTTCTCCTGCTAGCTTTGGAGTTGATTTGTTCTGTTTTTTGTTTGTTTGTTTGTTTTTCCCTAGTACTTGTAGGTGCAAAATTAGACTTTTAGTTTGAGATCTTTTAACTTCTTATTGAAGGTATTTAGCACTATAAACTTTCCTCTTAATACTGCTTTAGCTATATCCCAGATATTTTGGTAAGTTGTCTCCCTATTTTCATTACTTGAAAAGCATTTTTAAAATTTATGCCTTAATTTTAATTTTGATGTTAACCTAAGAGTTATTCAGAACAAAATTGTTTAATCGTCATTTTTTTTATTTTGAGGGATGTCCTTGATATTAATTTCTATTTTTATTGCATTGTGGTGTGAAAGTGTGCTTGGTATGATTTTGATTTTTCTAATTTGTAGAGACTTGCTTTATTACTGAACATATGGTCAATGAGAAGAATGTCTATTCTGTGGTTGTTGGGCAGAGTGTTCTGTAGATGTCTATTAGATTTAGTTGGTCAAGTGTCAAGTTTAAGCCCAGAGTTTCTTTGTTAGGTTTCTGCCTCAAAGATCTGTCTAATGCCATCAGTGGGAAGTTGAAGTCTCCCACTATTATCTTGTGGCTAAATATTTTCATAGATCAAGTACAACTTGTTCTATGAATCTCAGTTCTCCAAAGTTGACTGCATATTTGTTTAGGATAGTTAAGTCTTCTTATTGGATTGTATACTTCATCATTATGTAATATCTGTCTCTGTCCTTGTTATTGTTTTAGTCTATTTTATCTGATACAAGAACAGTGACTCCTTCTCTTTTTTTTTTTTTTTTTCATTTGCATGGTAGCTCTTTCTTTGTCCCTTTACTTTGAGCCTGTGGGTGTTAATACATGTGAGATAGGTCTCTTAAAAGTAGGAGATGGTTGAGTCTGTCTTTGTATTCAGCTTGCCCATTTACATTTAGTATTAGTATTGAAATGTGAGATTTTAATCTGTCATTGTGCTTTTAGCTGGTAGTTATGTAGACTTGATTGTGTAGTTGTTTTATAGTGTCTGTGGGCTGTATGCTTAAGTGCATTTTTGCTTAAGTGCAATAAGTGTCCTTATTTTGATTCCATGTTTAGGACCTCCTTGAAGACTTTTTGTAAGCCTGGTCTAGTTGAAACAAATTCCCTTGTCTGAGAAAGATTTTATCACTCAATCACTTCTGAAGTTAGTTTGGTGAAATATGAAATCTTGGTTGGAATTTCTTTTTTTGGAGACTGCTGAAAATAGGTGCCAATTTCTTCTGGCCTTTAAGATTTCTGCTGAGAGGTCCGTTGGTAGGCGGATAAGGTTCTCTTTGCATGTTATCTGACCCTTTTCTCCGGCTGCCTTTAAGATTTATTTCCTTTTGCATTGACCTTGGTGAATCTTATGGCTATGAGCCTTTGGGATGGTTTTCTTGTACAGTATCTATCTGGTGCTCTCTGTATTTCTTGAATTTGCATATCAATCTCTCTACCGAGTTTAGGGTAATTTTTGTGGACTATGTCCTCTTATGTATTTTCCAAGTTGCTTATTCCTTCTCCTTCTTTCTCAGGAAAGCTAACAAGTTGTAGCTAAGAAATATAGGAATATTTCTTAGAGGTTTTGTTTATTTTTAAAATTATTTTTCTTTTCTGGGCCGGGTGCAGTGGCTCATGCCTATAATCCCAGCACTTTGGGAGGCCGAGGCGGGTGGATCACGAGGTCAGGAGATCAAGACCATCCTGGCTAACACAGTGAAACCCCGTCTCTACTAAAAATACAAAAAATTAGCCTGGCATGGTGGCAAGCGCCTGTAGTCACAGGTACTCAGGAGGCTGAGGCAGGAGAATGGCATGAACCCGGGAGGCGGAGCTTGCAGTGAGCTGAGATTGTGCCACTGCACTCCAGCCTGGGCGACAGAGCAAGACTCCGTCTCAAAAAAAAAATTATTTTTCTTTTCTTTTCAGACTGAGTTGATTGGAAGAACTGGTTTTTGAGCTCTAAGATGCTTTCCTCAGCTCGATCTATTCTGCTGTTAATACTTCACATTAGTTCTTTCTTAAAATGTCTGCATCACCTCTTGAACCATTTTACTGAATTTCTTGGATTCCTTAGATTGGGTTTTAAATTTCTTCTGAATCCTGATCATCTTTATTGCTACCCAGATTCTGAATTCTATGCATGTCATTTCATTCATTTCTGACTGGTTAAGAACCATTCCTGGAAATCTAGTGGGCTCACTTTAAGGTAAGGGTACACTCTGGCTTTTTGAATTCCTAGAGTTCTTGTGCTAATTCTTTCTCATCTGGGAAGACTGTTGTTCCTTTAATTGTGATGTAAATTGAGTATAGTCGGTTGGCTTTGTTTCTAGATGTTTTCAGAGGGCCAAGGCTCTGTACAGAGTCTTTATTTGTGGCTATATGCTTGCCCTTTGTTTCACAGGAGGGTATAATAGCAAAATATTTTTGGTGTTGTAGTTTGAGCTGCTATCCAGGAGATGATGCTTAGGAGTAATGGCCAGTAGATAAGCTCTGACTCAGCTGCATGGCTTCTTTTGTATTTTCTTGTGTGTGCCTGCTGTGTGGAGGGAAGAGAAGTGACCCCTCTCACTAGCTTCACTCCTGGACCTTAGAGGAGCCCCTTCTGATTATTGGAACCACACCTGCATTTCTTTTGTTAGGTGTTCCAGGCCACAGGACTCCCTTGGGCAGAAGCTTTATTAGGGAGGTAGTCCACCTCCTTTCAAGACCAGCTCTGCAGAAGACACCATGCCAGATTATGAACTTGTGCATCTCAACCCTCTCAGTCCTCTGAGAATGTAGGGTCCTCTCCCAGACAAGTACAAGCCACAGATCTTGGATTGGTGCTCCCAACCTGCATGCCATAGCCCTGGGGCACCAGAACTGGTTCACAGCTTAATTCTCTGTACCTTAGGGATTGGGTTCTGAGTGTGCTAGAGAATCCAAAATGCTCCCACCCCACCAGTTACATACTGAAGTAGAGCAAAACATCCAGCCTGGGCAACAGAGTTTGCACTGTGCATACACTTCTGTGGGGTAGCCAGGCAGGGGCCATGGGAGGGGCTAGAAGGCAGGAAATTTCTGCAGAACAGATAGGCCCCATTTCCAAGGGGAAGTTGTCTCTGCTTTCTCCGAGCCTAGCAGTCAGCTGGGGATAGAGCTTCCCAAAGGGAGATTTAGAGCCCTAGGGGATGGACACATATGGCCATGTTCCACTGGAGCTCTTCCATGCACAAAGGCCCCCAGCTCCACTCCAATGAAGCCTTGTCTCTGTCTACTGTCTGGATAGATTCTCCTGCCAGCTCAAATGTTCATCATGAGATGGGGTTGCCTGTAGCTAGGATTTCAGAGGTTCACAGTGAGAGTGAGCCATTCCACAGTCCTTTCTCTCATCCATTCCCCAGGAGCTATTTGGTGACTTGGAGCTAGCTCTAGCATTCAAGTATTCCACTCAGGGTTTCCAGCTTCTTTTATCTTCAACCTCAGAGCCTGCATTACTTCTCCATTCACTCTTGGTGTTTTCTCTCTGAAGATCTGTTCATATTATGTTGGTTTACTCATAATTTAGTTTCTCCCAACGGGAGCAGAACTTCTTGGCTTGTCTGATCAATCATTTTGCCCCTCTCCTGACTAATCAGTATCTGTAGTTACTTTAAGTGTAAATGAATTACATTATCCATTTAAGAGGCAGAAATTGCCAGAATTAATTTAATAAAAATCACCCAAATATATGCTTCCTGCAGATTATTCTCATAATTTAAATTGTTGCTTTAGTTTTTGAAAATAATATTGAGAAGATACCTTTTCTAAAAAAAATTAAAGAAATGAACACATATTTTATTGATGTAGAGTTTAATAAGTGTTTATATGGCAAGGAATATGAGCTTCTATACAATAACTAAAGAAAACATTGAATCAGAAGCAAGAGACGTTGATAAGAACTTCACATTTAATTGAGATATAAAACTTGAAGATTGGTTTGCCTAAAGAAAAGGAAAAACCTATTTGTGTGTGTTATACCCAGTTTTTGCTGTGGAGCCCAAAATAATGTATTTATATGTACTAGAAATATTCATTAGTGACATTTGCCTCTATCATAGCTTCCTAGAACAATATTCCATATTGACCATTAAATTACAAAGTTTTCACTGCTTCATAAAAAAACTATAGAAGGCATTTTTTTTACTCCCTTTGTTCTTTACACTACAGACCAAATGGTAAAGCATGGTAATCACTAAAGAGGAAAACATGGAGGTCATTTTATTATTATCAAAAAAAAAGGAACTGAATTTGAGCTGCAAGTACATAAAGTATAGAAACCCACAGAACACAACCACCACTATCAGACAAGAAACATACGTGAAGAAAGTTTTTTACTGCTCTCTGCAGAATGCATTCAACAAACAGTTAATAGAATCAGCATGGAGGACATTAGGACTACCAGAAGAAAGAATATCAAATTAAGTACTGAAAATAGTGTGATCAACATTTCTATTCCTCATGCATTTGAGTCCACCATGGCTAACAAAGAAACATCTTAACAGTAGAAATAACTTATGACATTGGAGCCATAGAAGGCCAATATAAAAATCTTTATAGTGACCATCAGAGCTTGAAAGGTACTATAAAGGTATGGAATACCACCAGCACATGACAAAGTTCCTGAGACATAACATTTTATGGCAGAAGGCTATGGATGTCCACATAGTGGTCATAGGCCATGGCTGATGAGACGAAAAGTTCACAGATAATGAACATAATGAAGAAAGCCATCTGCATGGTACATGCATAACAGGGAATGGCATTTTGAGCCACAACAAAGTTTACCAGTATCTTGGGATAAATGACCATAGAATTACCAAGATTAATAAAATTCAGGTACCTGATTTAAAAAATACACAAATGTTGTGTAGACCCAAGTCCACATTGTTCAAAATGATTATGCACTCTTTGCTCACCACTGTGAATGTGCAGATGATGAGGAAGACCCAAAAAAGGGAGAGCTGCAGCTCAAGCCGCCTTGTGATTTCCATCAGAATTAATTCAGTAAGCACTGTTAGATTCTTTTGGCCCATTTAGTCCAGTTATCTCTTCCAGGAAGAAACAGAACAGTTGTTAAAAGATTTTATGTAATGTCATCTAAACAAATTATAACATTTGTAGACAAAAGGTGTTATTCACGATAGGTAATAAACATTATTTCTACATCTGATCCTAAAACTAAAAAAAAAAAAAACAAGAAAACTTCTATCAAAAGAAGGGACCCATATTAAATACACATATAATTATGAGGTAAGTTAAACTGTAAATATCAATAATGTTTGGAACACATCAATTGATAACAAAATTATATAGTTATTAATATGGAAATGTTAGACTTTATTTCACCCACACAGTGGCGTCACAGTTTTTTTTTTCTAGTATACTTCCATATTTTCCAAAGAATTCTTGTGGAATTGTGCTATTATTAAAAAGTGAGATAGAGATAGCATGAAGCTACTGTTGTTTAAATTTTAGTTTCCCTCACTTGCACTTTCTGGGTAGGGATTTAACAATAAACTCACAAGTAATATGTCTTTGTGAAAATTCTGTAAGCAAAGATATTTTAACCATGACCAACTAAGGCCACTTTCCATTAATATTCTGACTTCCACTTCATCACACTTTATCTGACAAAACAGTGCATTAGCATATCTGCAGGCATTTTTAGGACCCAGCTAACAAAGGATTGAGTTAATGATACTTTGATGTTTAATGGGTATATTTATATGGCTCAAAATCAATGACATTATTAAATAATGCTATCTCTTTTGGTGTAGGAATGATCACTAAGAACACCCTTACCACCAAATGTGCAGAGATTTGTCTGGAATTTCATTAATAAAATAATATTTATAGATTTTATGATTTTTTGACCTTTGGTTTATGACAAAATTTGTATTATTTTTTCTTTTAAATATTTACATATATTTCAACTTAAATGTGTAATTTTATTTTTTAAGAAAAAAGAAAAACTCCCAAACTAATATAAGCTTAATGATTACCAACATGTGCATCTATTCCTACTAAAATATTTGTTTTATGTCAATACAGAGGGATTATGAATATTTAATTTTATAAGTTTTATTTCCTTTAAGATATCACTGTGAAAATAACAGAGTTTAGAGGGCATTTAAAAGCATTGAGCATTTATTACATCACATATAAATTACCGTTTATTTCTAATATTGCCCCATAGAATACAGATCATTACACTGTGATTTTCAAACATTTCAGTGATAAGTACTGGTCCTCTATTTAATCTAATTAATGTGGGACATGAGCAAAAAAAAGTGGAACAGGTCTGATTAAAGTTAGTAAAATCTGCTTTAGCCTAATCTCTTTGTCTCTCCTCTTCTACCATTCAGTTTCTCTTCAGTGAAAACATGGAACTCTGCAAGCATGAATTTCAATTCGAGCAGTAGTTGCATTTTAAAATATTCAGTCAAATAAAATACAGAATTTAGTTATAACTTCATGGAATGTCAGGTTTAACCCACACAACTATCAAGTAGAACCTTCTGGGAGCCCACCTTAAGGTCCAAACCTATAGGTTAGAGGAGTTAGAGCACTCTCACCTTGTGGAAGTTAGCAGCAACTGATTAGTTTTATGTGTAGATCTTGCTGTTCTGACTCAGGAAGTAAGGACAGGGGAGGAGAGCAAGACTGGAGATTGGTAAGCTGTCTGAAACCATTCTTCCCAGATGAAACTGTTTGTTCTTTCTTCACTGAATTCCATTCTGTCTTTCTGGCTCTTTCCTCCCTTACAAGTAAGAACCGTAAGTCCAGCATTTTTGAAAACATTCTTTTGAACTTACCAGATGTCAGGGTATGCCTTCAAAGGGTTTTATTGTAGAATAGGAGATGCAGTGGACTGAACAAAGGAATTCAGTATTGCAGCCACAGTGTCACTGCTTTGAAATGTTTAAATTTTACCAATAGTCCTTTGTTCGGAGAAAAGCTGAGTGTTGAGAGAGAAGCTGAGGCAGGGCTTGCGTGTCTGCTAGACTTGCTGGCTCCTTGCTTCTAGAACTCTTGTTATCTCAAGCAGCCAAATGTTTCTCATTCACTTCATACACTGTTTCCTTTCAATCCCCACATCCCCATCAACTGTTTGTTTGAGCACCAATAAGTAGCATGGCCTCCCAGAGCTTGGGGACTTTGCAGCCTCCACACTTGTGATGGCCCCCTGGTCCCAATTTCTCTCTCAAACTGTCTTTTTCTCATTCCTTTGACTCCGCCGGACTTCATTGCCCCCAAGACCTGATGTTGGGTCTGAGCACCCCAACATTCCTGGTGCCCAATGTGGGGCAACCCTGGTGAAGGAACGCTAGAGCGTGTGAAAGCAGAGGACGCCTCATCAAAGGACACCCGAGGTCGTCTAAAAGAAGTTCGGCGGGAAAGCTGAGCGCTGGGAAGAACCAGGGTAACAATGGGACAAAGTGAATGCAGACATTCTGCTTATTTAAATTTTTTAAAGCATTTATTATGAAGTGGGGGAGTAAAAGTTGGTACTCAGTTTGTTATCACTTTTTAGTACAGTAAAGCTGTTTTGCCCATGGTTCCCGGAACAGGGGACTATGGAGTTGGATGAATGGGAGAGAATTGGAAGAGATTTTTTCAAAAAGGTGTATAAAGACGGAGCAGTGACAGGTACGGCGGGGGGTGCTGGGTCCTGCTGAGGCGACAATGGCAGAGGGGCCCGAGGAAGCCCAAGGCCGCCCTCCTGGGCACGACGAGGGTGGAGGGGGCCACGAGTCCCTCCCTACCCTGAGAGGCCCTCCTGCCGCCACCGTCCCATGCCCCCATGACGACCCCCAGGCCAAACCCCATGCCCCTGGCCAGCCCACAGCCCGGGCCTCATGGCTGTGCCTGACAAATCAGAGCCGCCCCGGTGAGCTCAGGAAGCGCGGGGAGGCTGCTTCCGGCTCCGTGCTGGGCTGCCGAAGTGCCCAAGGCACAGCCCCGCGGGAGAGACCGAGTGCTCCCGGCAAGTGCGCGAGTGGCTGTATCAGTCCTGCTGTGGCTACCTCACCTGGCACCGCTGGCCAGGCCGCCTTCCCGGCTTGCTGCAGTCCCCAGCAGTCCCCGCAGAGCTTCCCTTCGGACAGCGCTGCTGTCCCAGTGGCTGGGCTATTACAACCCCTTCTACTTCCTGAGTCCTGGGCCGCCGGCCCTGACCCGGGTACAGCTGCTGGCATCAGCACCCAGGCTCCAGTAACTGGCCTGGGACCCCGGGCTTCTCATGTGCAGGCATCAGTCTGGGCCACTCCAGTGACGAAGGTAGGATCAGCAGCCCCTTCGTGAAGCCTGAGTGAGACCGGGCAACAGGCAGGCGGAGAATATGTTATTCCATCCTTGGCCCAGGATGGTGAGTTTCTTTATTCTTTTCTTTGTAAAAGCAACCATTGTCTTAAGCATTATGCACCTCAGTGGGATAAAGGATATCTCTAAGTTTGCTATGCATTATGTAATGGAAAAAATAGATAAAGACACATCAGTGGAAGACTTGCAGAAAATGATGCAGACTATTAGTTTGTTTCTATGAGATAATTTGCATCTGGGGAGCAGGTGGAGCTACCCCAGGGAAGTTCCTGGTGGGGCTTCGAGTTGTGACATGTGATACATTAGTGCTTATTGCACTAAGTCGGGTTTTAGTGATTCTTTCCTCAAACGTTAGCATTACAATGTCCACTACATGAGCTTTGATCAAGAATTTTTCAATTGCTTCTTTTTTCCCTGCTTGCATCACACTGCTGTTTTTTCAGCATAATCGATCAGCCTATGATATTGTGGCAGGAACCACTGTGGTAAAAAGAAATGGGGTCAGATGATGCCCCCAAAGCCCTGATTTCCACACGCTATAATGACAAGACTAAATTATGTATCAAGGCCATCAGTATCCCTGGGCTACACTAATTGATGATTTAGAAATTAAAGCAGTCACTCCAGTGTGATGCAGATGATTACTCTGAAAGTATTGATTTTACTTAAATGTCAAAGAACTTGTCCAGAAGAAAAACCTGTTAAATTCAGGTATTAAAATTTTTAGATAAAAAAGGCAAATGATTTTATAAACAATGAACAATATATTCTTAAGATCTAAGGCATTTTCTTAAGATCTAAGAATTTGCTGAAAGCATCTTCAGCTTTGAAATCTCCAAATGAAACTTTAAAATTTATTTTAGTTTATCCCAAAATAATGGAAAATGTCCAGTTGTGTATTGTAAATATCTATGTAACTCATCTTTTAGTTCACACTTCCTGGGGAGCCACCAAAGAAGGTACCCACAGGAGTTAGGGGACCCTCACCCTGAGGAACAGTTGGCCTATTACTTGGAAGGTCTAGTCTGAATTTAAAAGGTGCTACTGTACATATGGGAATAATTGACTCTGATTATACTGGAGAGATTCAATTAGTTATTAGTTCCTCTCCGTGTTCTGCCTCCCCAAGAGAAAGAATTGCTCAGTTGTTGCTGTTACCTTATATAAAACTAGGAAGCAGCACAGTGAAAAGAACAGGAGGCTTTGGTAATAATAATCCAGCAGGAAAGGCTGTGTATTGGGTTAATCAAGTGTCTGACAAAAGACCTATTTGCACAGTAACTGTTCAGGGAAAAGATTTTGAAGGACTAGTAGATACTGGAGCTGATGTCTCTATTATTGCTATAAATCAATGGCCCCAGCACTGGCCTAAGCAAAAGGCATCCACTGGTATTGTTGGAGTAGGAGCTGCCTCAGAAGTTTTTCAGAGTTCCTTGATTTTACCATGTCAAAGGACGAATGGTCAGGAAGGGACAATCCAACCTATCATTACACCTATTCCTATCAATTTATGGGGTAGAGACTTATTGCAACAATGGGATGCTGAAATACCTATTCCTATGGATCAGTATAGTAATCATAGCAGACAAATGATGAAAAACATGGGATATCACCTGGGAAAAGGACTAGGACAATATAAAAATGGCCAATCAGAACCTTTAGAATTAAAAGGGCAAACAGATCAGACCGAATTGGGGTGTCATTTTTAGGAGCGACCATTGTTGAGCCTCCAGCTCCCAATCCTCTTGTTTGGCTATCAAACCGGTTTGGGTGGAGCAATGGCCACTGAAACAGGAAAAACTGGAGGCTTTAAAAGAACTGGTGCAGGAACAATTGCAAAAGGGATATATACAGCCTACTTTCTCCCCTTGGAATTCTATTGTATTTTTCATTAAGAAAAAATCAGGGAAATGGAGAATGTTAACAGATTTAAGGGCTGCTAATGCTGTGATTCAACCCATGGGTGTTCTACAACCAGGGCTGCCCTCCCCAGCAATGATACCAAAATAGTGACCTCTCATAGTGATAGATCTAAAGGATTGCTTTTTTTTACCATTCCTTTAGCTGCCCAAAATTATGAAAAATTTGCTTTTATTGTTCCCACCATAAATAATGAAGAACCAGTGGACAGCTACCATTGGAAAGTATTACCACAAGGCACGCTAAATAGCCCGACTATTTGTCAAACTTATGTGGGAAAGCTATTAAGCCAGTTAGAAGACAGTTTAAAAAATGTTATATCATCCATTACATGGATGATATTCTGTGTACAGCTGAGACTAGGGAAGAATTGATGTTGTGCTACAAACAGTTATAAAAGACTGTAAATGCGGCAGGGTTAATTATAGCCCCCAATAAAATCAAAACTTCTACTCCCTTTCATTATCTTGGAATGAAGGTAAAGCAAAGTGCTATTAAGCTTCAAAAGGTTCAAATTCAAAAAGATAATTTAGAAACCTTAAATGATTTCCAAAAGTTATTAGGAGACATTAATTGGATTTGTCCAACTTTAGACATTCCTGCCTATGCTATGTCTCACCTCTTTTTTTACTTTACAAGGTGATTCTAACCTTAACAGTAAACGCTTCATGTCCAAAAAAGCATGGGAGGAACATCAATTAATTGAGGAAAAAATTCAGCAAGATCAACCCATGTCTGCAGCTGAACAACACTTGACAGGACAAAAGGAAAATAAAAAGGCTGGACAAGATGTATGGTAGAGGGATGCACATACAAAGAGCTGGGAAAAAGGAAAGATAATTTTATGGTAAGAGGATTTGCTTGTGTCTCTCCACGTGACAATCAGGTGCCTGTGTGGGTGCCCACCAAACATCTGAAGATCTATCATGAACCACAGCATCTAGTGGACCCACCTGTACAGTGCAAATTGAAGGCTTAAGGATTACTTTTTTGCTATACTGTTGCACAAGAAGGATAAGCCTCGATTTGCTTTTTCTATGCTTTCTGTTAATCAGAAAAAGCCTGCTTCTCATTATCAATGGCAAGTTTTACCCCCATGATAATTAACCAAAGGGCAGAAGCTGAGTTACAAATGCTTCAGCAATGGCATGCCTCCCAGCTACAGCCACAAATGCTTTTGCTTGTGTTTCAGTGCATTTACTAACGTGGGGGTGAGGATATGCTTGTGTTTTTGCAGGAGATGAACAAACCATGTAGATGCCCTCAAGATGTGTTTGACCATGGAACAGGAGAATGGAAGGACCCATGGATCCCAACCATGGCCTGGGTTCCCCCAGTACGAGCCATGCTGAGAAACTGCTGGAGCACCAGGGTTTTACCTATAGATGCTTAATGGACCAGTGCTTTCTGACTGAACTCCTCTCTACCCTGAATACAAGAGACCCTAATAGGTAGGCAGGAGTATGATCACCCCTATTCAACATGAAGAAGTTACAGAAGACAGACCTTCATCCTTCTGCAACCCCTAGGATTAAGGGTCCTCTTGTAAAAGGGAAAGGGGAGATATGTAGGAAGCATTCAAATCAGAGCAACTCCATTTTGAATAAGGGCTAAGAAAAATGAAGCTGGATCACCAAGTGGCAATTAAGGGCTGCACAGCCTGCAATTGCCTTGCTCAATTTAAAGAGGCCACCTTATGCTAATAATGATAGCTGGGGCAGTTTTTACAAAAAAGAAGTGGGGCATGTTGGGAGAAAAGCTGAGTATTGGGAGAGAAGCTGAGGCAGGGCTTGCACGTCTGCTAGACTTGCTGGCTCCTTGCTTCTAGCACTCCCATTATCTCAAGCAGCCATGTGTTTCTCATTCACTTGATCCACTGTTTCCTTTCAACCCCCACATCCTCACTACGTGTTTGTTTGAGCACCAATATATAGCATGGGCTCCCAGAGCTTGGGGCTTTCGCAGCCTCCACACTCAACAATGGGCCCCTGGTCCCACTTTCTCTCTCAAACTGTCTTTTTCTCATTCCTTTGACTCCACTGGACTTTGTCCCTCCCACGACCTGGTGTTGGGTCTGATCACCCCAACGATTCTTCTTGTGTTTAAGTCTGTCTTCATATCCAGTGTCAGTTATCTCCTTTTGAAGAGGTATGAACTCTTTCACTTTGTACATGATTCTTGCATGGAAAAGGATATCTCTGCTCTCCTTTTAATATTTTAATGTTTATATTTTAAATGTAACAATGTAGGGCTAAACATTAGGACAGAAATAATACAAAAAGTATGCAAATGACTGAGTTTTCTATCTTCAGCACAGTAATATCAGTTAGAAATTTTTTGAGGTTCAGGGTTTTCTCAGTAACTTCATAAGTCTTAAAAGCCATTCTATTTATTTCAGTCTACTAAATGATTCTAATGCCCATTGTTAAAAAAAAACAAAACAAAACCTCTCAAAAACAGAAGAAGCCCAGGAGGAAAAAGAAAGAACTAAAAATATTTTAAGTTTTTGCATTTGGTTTCCTTAAATTAAAATTATTCTTAGTTTGTAAACTATTGCCATAGAAATAGTTATAAAATATTCTTTTAAAAATATCAAATTATATATTAATATAATATTTGTTATTTTTCAAACCTGGATATCATCACCTGTATTTTCTCTAAAAATTCTAACCTTGATGCAGTCTAACAGATGAGCTTACTTATAAATTTTTTAGGTGATTTTAACTTCCTCTTTACTTGAAATATCTAAACATCACATTCAACTCTCACAAAACAAATAGGTATAGGTCATCTGTTCAATTCATAGGATTTAATGCTCTCTAACACCATATTAGTCCAGAGAACTCTGATTAGCAGAGATGATATGCCAAGGCTTGGAGTTTGCACCCTCTGAAGCCATGGTCTGAGCTGTACCTTGGGCCCTTTTAGCCATGACTAGAATGGCTGGGACATAAGGCACCAAGTCCCTAGGCTTTACACAGCCAGGAGGCCTGGGCCCAACCCAGGAAACCACTTTTTTCTCCTAACTCTCTGGTCCTGTGAAGAGAGGGTCTCCCACAAAGGTCTCTGATACTCTGGAAATATTTTCCCCATTGTCTTGGTGATTAACATTTGACCCCTAATTAATTATGCAAATTTCTTCAGCCTTCTTGAATTTCTCCTCAGAAAGTGGGTTTTTCTTTTCTATCCCATTGTCAGGGTGAAAATTTTCTGAGCTTTTATGCTGTTTCCCTTTTAAAACTGAATGCTTTTAACAGCACCCAAGTCACCTCTTGAATGCTTTACTGCTCAGAAATTTCTTCTGAAGGTACCGTAAATCATTTCCCTCAAGTTCAAAGTTCCACAAATCTCTAAAGCAGGGGCAAAATGCTGCCAGTCTCTTTGCTAAAACATAGCAAGGGTCACCTTTACTCCAGTTCCCAACAAGTACCTCATCTCCATCTGAGACCACCTCAGCCTGGATTTCATTGTCTATATCATTATCAGCATCTTGATCAAAGCCATTCAACAAATCTCCAGGAAGTTCCAAACCTTCCCACATTTTCCTGTCTTATTCTAAGCCATCCAAACTGTTCCAGCCTCTGCCTGTTACCCAGTTCCAAAGTTGCTCCCACATTTTTGGGTATCTTTACAGCAGTGCCCCACTCTACTGGAACCAATTTACTGTATTAGTTCCTTTTCATACTGCTGATAAAGACACACTCAAGACTGGGTAATTTATAAAGAAAAAGAGGTTTAATGGGCTTACAGTCCCATGTGGCTGGGGAGGCCTCACAATTATGGTGGAAGACAAAAGGTACATTTTACGTAGCAGAAGACGAGGGAATACGAACTAAGCAAAAGTGATTTCCCTTATAAAACCATGAGATCTCAAGAGACTTATTCACTACCATGAGAACAGTGTGGGAAACCACCCCCATTATTCAATTGTCTCCCACCAGGTCCCTCCCACAACATGTGGGAATTATGAGAGCTACAATTCAAGACGATATTTGGGTTGGGACACAGCCAAATGTATCAAGAGAAATGCTTAGTTAAGATAAAAGAGCCACTAAATGTATGGGAGGTAGACAGAAACATGTTCTGATTTATAGCAATCAGGTTCAGTACTATCTGTGGTTTCAGGCATTTACTGGGAGTCTAGGAAGTTATCTTCTATGGATTAAGTGGACTACTGTACTTGTATTTTTTGAAAGAGTTTTAGAATGATGTGTAATGATTCTGTAAATGTTTGGTAGAATTCAACCATGAAGACATCTGACCCACAGCTTTCCTTGTTGGGAGGTTTTTAATTACCATTTGTATTAGTTTGTTTTCATACTGCTCTAAAGAACCTTACCTGAGATTGAATAATTTATAAAGGAAAGAGGTTAATTGACTCACTGTTCTGCCTGGCTGAGGAGGCCTCAGGAAAACTTACAATTGTGGTAGAAGGCAAAGGAGAAGAAAGGACCTTCTTTACAAGGCAGCAGTGGTTGGGGAGAACTCATTCACTATGAAGAGAACAGCATGGGGGAAACCTTCCCCATGATCCAATCACCTCCTACCAGGTTCCTCCCATGACACATAAGGATTGCAATTCAAGATGAGATTACAGTAGGGACACAGAGCCAAAAGATATCATTCTGCCCTTATCCCTCCCAAAGCTCATGTCCTTTTTAGATTTTAAAACCAATCGTGCCTTCCCAACAGTCCCCCGAAGTCTTAACTCATTTCAGCATTAACTGAAAAGTCAACAGTCCAGGGTCTCATCTGAGGCAAAAATCCCTTCTCTCTATGAGCCTGGAAAATCAAAAACAAATTAGTTACTTCCAAGATACAATGAGAGTACAGGAATTAGGTAAATGTCCTCATTCCAAATGGGAAAAATTGGCCAACACAAAGGGGCTACAGGCTCTGTACAAGAATGAAATCCAGTGGGGAAGTCATTAAATCTTAAAGCTCCAAAATAATATACTTTGACTCAATGTCTCATATCCTGGGAATGCTGATGTAAGGGGTGGGCTCCCAAGGCCCTGTGGCTCTGCAGGGTAGGGCCCCTGCAGCTGCTTTCATGGACTGGCATTGAGTGCCTGCAGCTTTTCCAGGTTCATAGGCCCAACACCAGGTGGAAGCCATCAAGGCCTGGGATTTGCCCCCTCAGAAGCAATGGCCTGAGCTGCACCTTGGCACCTTTTAGCCATGGCTGAAGCTGTAGCAGCTGGGATGCAGGGCGCCAAGTCCCAAGGATGCACAGAGCAGTGATGGGGCCCTGGGCCTGGCCCAGGAAATGATTTTACCCTCCTAGGCCTCTGGGCCTGTAATGGGAGGGACTGCCATGAAGATCTATAAAATACCCTGGAGACACTTTCCCCATTGTCTGTGCTATTCACATTTGGCTCCTAGTCACTTATGCAAATTTCTGCAGCAGGCTTAACTTTCTCCTCAGAAAATGGGTTTTTCTTTTCTACAGCATGGTCAGGCTGCAAGTTTTCCGAACTCATGCTCTGCTACCCTTTTAAACATAATTTTTAATTTTAGATCATTTCTTTCTTCATACATATAAACGTACACTTTTACAAAATGTCTGGTCACATCTTGAACACATTGGTGCTTAGAAATGTCTTCCATCAGATAGACTAAATTATCTCTCTCAAGTTCAAAGTTCTACAGATCTCCAGGGCAGGGGTAAAATGCCACTTGTCTCTTTGCTAAAGCATAGCAAGAGTGACGTTTGCTCCATTTTCCAATAAGTTTCTCATCTCCATCTGAGACCATCTCAACCTGGACCTCATTGTCCATATCTCCATCAGCATTTTGGTCAAAACCATTCAACAAGTCTCTAGGAAGTTCCAGATTTTCCCACGTCGTCTTGTCTTCTTCTGAGCCCTCCAATCCATTCCAACCTCTGCCCATTACTTAGTTCCAAAGTTGCTTCCACGTTTTCAGGTATCCTTATAGCAATGCTCCACTTCTCTCACTACCAATCTTCTGTATTAATCTGTTTTCAAACTACTTTAAAGAATTACCTGAGACTGAGTAATTTAAAAGTAAAGAAGTTAATCGACTCACAGTTTCACATGGCTGAGGAAGCCTCAGAAAACTTACAATCATGGTGTTATGTGCATCTGTGTGAAGAGACCACCAAACAGGCTTTGTATGAGCAATAAAGCTTTTTAATCACCTTGGTGCAGGCAGACTGAGTCTGAAAAAGGAGTCAGCAAAGGGTGATAGGGGTAGGGAAGTTTTATAGGATTTGGGTAGGTAGTGGAAAATTACAGTTAAAGGTGGCTGTTCTCTTGTGGGCAGGGGTGGGGGTCACAAGGTGCTCGGTGGGGAGCTCCAGAGACTTATTGTCCAGGAGAAGGAATGTCGCAAGGTTAATTGATTAGTCAGGGTGGGGCAGAAACAAATCACAATGGTGGAATGTCATCAATTAAGTCAGGAACTGGCTATTTTTACTTGTTTTGTGGTTTTTCAGTTGCTTTAGGCCATCTGGATTTATACCTGCAGGTGACAGGGGATATGATGGCTTAGCATGGTCTCAGAGGCCTAACACATGGTAGAAAGCAAAGGAGAAGCAAGCACCTTTTTTTATAAGGCAGCAGAAGAGAGACATTGGGGGCAAGGGAAAGTGCCCCACTTTTATTTAAACCATTATACCTCCTGAGAACTCACTCATTATCATAAAAACAGGATGAAAAAACCACCCCCGTGACCCAATCGCCTCCCACCAGGTTCCTCCCTTGACATGTAGGGATTACAATTCAAGATGAGATTTGGGTGGGGAAACAGACCCAAACCATATCACTACTTCAATCTCTATATTTGTTGGGTTTTTTCAGGCTCTTTATTTATGTCTGATTTAATATTGGTAGATTGTATTTTGCTAGGAATTTATTCATTTCCTCAATTATTCAATTTATTGGCATATGATTGTTCGTAATAGTCCCTCATCCATTTTATTTCTGAGATATCAGTTGTAATGGTTCCACTTTCACTTATAATTTTATTTTACTCTTCCCTCTTGGTTAGCCAAGCTGAAAGTTTGCCAATTTTATTTTTTCAAAATGCCAACTCTTCTTTTTGTTATTTTTTCTATATTTTTCTATTCTTTACTGTATTTATTTCTGTTCTGATCTTTTTTGTTTCCTTCTGATAATTTTGGGATTGATTTTTTTTTTTTTATTTTAAATGTTGTTTTCTGGGGCAGAATGTTAGGCAATTTCTTTGAGATCTAAATCTGACCCCCACAGGCCACAAGTACCTGTTATTATTATTTCATATATTATATCATGTGTCCTAGTGTTTTAGCTGGGACTTAAAGAATATACAAATACTTTCATCCTCATCAGGGAACTTATAAAGGTAAGATTAACTAAACATGATGTCAACCTATGCTCAAATATGACATACTGGAAAATGGGGAAAACACTATATGCCACTGTGAACGATGTGGTCCTCATTGTTCCAAGATGCATCAATCACATATACTGGAAATTAGAATATAGTTCCTCCTGTTTCATGATGTCTGAAACTTCTCTACCTTGTGGCATGCCTGTTCAGCTCAATAGTAATTTACTCTGTGTCCAGGGAGTCTGAGGATTTGCCAAATTGTCATCGTCCTTCCTCATCTTTTCCTAGGAGGGTCCCTTCCCCTATTAAGAAAACAACCTCAATCTTTCTTTCTCAAAGATGGTTGAACTTATTAGGATAGAAATAAAGAAAATCTGCCTGATTATTTATTTGTCTTCAGCATATTACTGACTACTTAATGCTAATTTCTGCTATCCTCATCCTCTGCAATTTATTACAACTCTACTCAAACTCTACTTTTTGATGGCTTTCTACTTGAGCATAAACACTCTTTCAAAATGTCAAAATGGACTGATAAGTTTACATTTCTGAGTCAATTTTCTTTTTGATTATGTATTTTGTAAATTAATTTTATGTGTCACATAGTTCACTGCTTTCATTTATTTTCTTATTTGAAAATATTTCATTGACAAAAATATATTTTCAAGGTGCACAGTGTGATAATTTTATATATGACTATGTTGTTTAAGGATTACTAAAATAACATTAATTAGCACATCTGTTACCACCTATAGTTCACCCTGCATATGTGTGTGCATGTGTTTATGTGTGTATGTGTGTGTATGTGTGGTGAAGACATTTGGAATCTGTTCTTCCATCAAATTTCAAGTAAAAAGTTCAGTATTATAAACTACAATCACCATGTGGTACAATGGATCCCCAGCATGTATTCTTCCTGTAATTGACCCCTCTGCTCTTTTTCTCTTCTAATACCAAATCTGCCAAAGTGAGGTTTTGCTCTGTCACATCTCAGGGTAACATCAGTGAAGCATACAAATGACATTAAGAGACAAAATAGGGCTGGACGCAGTGGCTCATGCCCTTAATCCCAGCACTTTGGGAGGCTGAGGCAGGCCGATCACTTGAGGCTAGGGAGTTCAAGCCCAGGCTGGCTAATGTGGCAAAACCCCGCCTCTTCTAAAAATACAAAATTATCTGGGCATGGTGGCACATGCCTGTAGTCTCAGATACTTGGGAGGCTGAGGCGCAAGAATTGCTTGAACCCAGGAGGCGGAGGTTTCAGTGAGCTGAAATCACGCCACTGCACTCCAGCCTGGGCAACAGAGCCAGACCCTGTCTTAAAAAAATGAGAGAGAGAGAGAGAGACAGACAGACAGAGACAGAGACAGAGAAAGAAAGAGAAAGAGAAAGAGAATATAGAGCCAGGCATTGTGGCTCATGCCTGTAAGTCCCAGCACTTTGGGAGGCTGAGGTTGGTGGATCACTTGGAGCTCAGGAGTTTGATACCAGCCTGGGCAACATGGCAAAACCCTGTCTCCATGAAAAATACAAAAATAGGCCGGGCATTGGTGGCTCATGGCTGTAGTCCCAGCTATTTAGGAGGCTGAGGTGAGAGGATTCCTCGAGCTCAGGAATTTGAGGCTGCAATGAGCTATGGTTATGCCACTTCACTCCAACCTGGCCAACAAAGGGAGATTCTATCTGTTAAAACGAACGAGCAAAAATACAACAAAACCTGATTCTAATACTCATTACCTTGGTGATCTCTGACAACTTACTTACTGTATCTAGGCTCTACTTTATCATCCTAAAAATGGAACTTTTAATAGAACCTACCTCAAAGAGCTGTTGTGATGGCTAAATTAATTGAGACATGTAGAATCTCTATAATATAATAGTAAGTGTGAGATATTATTACTACCTGGTAATTTCTATGACCATCTTAAAGATTCATTTTCAGTACAGCAACAATATGGTAATATTTATCCTCACATGACAATGTGCTATGCAATGTTTAATTTATTCCAATGAGATATATTCATTAGTGTTTCTTTGGCTGCACATGGGATTTTATTTTATGATGGTGAACCAAGAAAATATTGTAGACTCTGATACTTTCAATAAATTCTTAGGATTATTAAAAAGAATAAAGGAAATCAAAATACATAAGAAAACATATGGAGTTAAGGAAAGCAACCATGTTTAAAAGGCAAGATAACGATATCATTGCATACAGATCAGACCTCACTTGCATGGTGAAGGTCTGTAACTGTCAAAGGACATCTGTAATAGCCAGCAGATAGATACAGTATGGTGTAGTGCATTTTATTACTTTTATTTGCTTTGTACAAGTAGAAAAATCAACTGATGCAATCAAACAGTGAAGTAAATGAAAATATAGTGCATTCGATATAGTGCATATTGATAAAAATTATGGATTGTCAACTCAGTGAGAGACTACAAAGTTAATTCATCATAGAATGGTCCCCCTCCTCAAAGATGTAAAAACAACTGGAACACAAATTTTAACCACAGTTTATTACTTTTTTTTAGATAAATAACGGGAAAATCTGTGAAAAAGGCAGTTATTAAGCAAGAACAACTAGAGAGAAAGAATAAACCTGAGAATTTCTATGGATGTCTTCTAAACTTAAGCATAATTGATATATCTACTCATGTAAACAGAATGGGCTAACTGAAACAAAATCAGGTGCTAATCAGAATTTACCGATTATTGAGCTACAAAGTATGTTCGGTTAACAGACTTCTATGTGGAAATAAAAACATTGATAAGGAAATAGTAGGATCCTAATATTCGGAATAGTAATTATTCGAGCACATCTGTAAGACTTAAAATCATCACATATCATCTAAACAACCAGTATTAAATGCAATGTCAGAATATACAAGCAAAAAGTATGAAGGCTAAAACAGAAGGAAAATGCTTATATACACAAAAACACACAAACAGAAACATACAGAAGCACACACACTGTAAATTTTATTCCAGTAGCAGATAAAAAACACTGGAATCCTCGTAACTCCCTTCTGTAATGACCACTGTTTCCTACTGCCACCCAGCATACTAGCTTTCCTTGTCTCCCTTTTTTCTTTGTCTATATCCATCGTGCACATTCTACTGTTATATAAAATGGACTTATTGTGAATACAATTCATCTATCCATCAAGGAAGGCAAAGATTTCTACTATTTTGTTTATTAATCTATGTATAGCAATTAGAAGAGCCTATCATGTATGAGACATATGTAAATATATGTTGAATCAGTTATGCTTGTTATGTCTTCTGGAAGTATGCAGAGCAAAAATTCATGCCCATAACCTAATTTATAGGAATCATATTGTACAAAATTTAAACAAAAATATTACATAAGTTATTCCATGTCCTTCGTAGGGCATATTTTACATCTTTGTTTCGTAAACTATAGATCAAGGGATTCAACATGGGGATAACCAGGGTGTAAAATATGGAAGCCACTTTATCAGTGTCAAAGGAATGACTGGACTTGGGCTGCACGTACATGAAAAGCAAAGTCCCATAGAACACTATGACCACTGTCAGGTGGGCTCCACAGGTAGAAAAAGCCTTTTGTCTGCCAGCAGAATTCATCCTGAGAATGGCTACAAGGATGAGCAGGTAAGATAAAAGAACTATCAGAAGAGATGAAATCAAATCAATAGCTGCAAAGATCAGAATTATCAATTCAATTTCATGTGTATTTGAACAAAGCAAAGGTAACAAAGGGAGACTGTCACAGTAGAAATGACTAATGACGTTGTAGCCACAGAAGGATAAAGTAAAAATCTTTATGGTGACTAGAAGAGAAATGAATGTGCAATAGAGGTAAGGGATTGCTACCAGCACCTGACATACCCTTCGTGACATGATTACTGTGTATAGCAGAGGGTTACAGATGGCCACATAGAGGTCGTAGGACATGGCTGAGAGAATAAAAAGTTCACTACCAATGAACACAAGAAAGAAAGCTAGCTGTGTTGCACAAAAATAATAAGAAATTATATTCTTATCCACAACAAAATTTACTAACATTTTGGGTCCCACAGTTGTTGAATAACCAAGATCCATGAAAGCCAGATGTCTGAGAAAAAAGTACATAGGGGTTTGCAACCTGGAGTCCAACTTGGTGAGGACAATCATGCCCAAATTGCCCATCACTGAGATCACATAGATCATGAGGAACAATGCAAATAATGGTGCCTGCAGCTCAGCGATATCTGTGATTCCCGTAAGAATGAATTCATTCACCGTTGTTAGATTGTGTTGTTCCATCCAGGTTCATCAGAAAACCTATTCTGATAGAGACATCGGCATTGTCAATAGCTTTCCTCTATCATCACCTGAGAAATTTTTTAGTATGCAAAGCTAACAGAAGATATACCTAAATTTCACAATTTGCGACATTTGAAAACATACCTCTCACAAATAAAAACATGTTTAAATAATTTAAGAAAGAGATAAGGCAGATCAGCAGTTTTCAGTTGCTTTTGATTTTACTCACCCAAAAACATTTTCTAATGTCTAGAGACATTTTATTTATCACAATTTGGAGGTGGGCCACTGTTGCATCTAAAGGTTAGAAGCCAGTAAGCTGCTAAACATTCCACTATAATCAATACTCAGCCCATCGCAATACCCAACCCCAAATATCAATAGTGCTAAGGTTGAGAAACTCTGATGAGATACATGAATAGACAGATGATAGATAGATAGTTAATGGGTAGATAGATAGATTATGGATGAACAGATAGAATCATATGAGAGAGAGAGAAAGAGATACAGATATTCATGTCTGTATAGATATATAAAGAAAAATTTTAAAGTTAAAAACATTGTTAATACCGTGGATATCTGATATATGAACAATTATTGTACTATGTTTTTAGAGCTTGGTCATATTTATAGATTAAAATTGTGACATAATACAATTTTAGTTATATAAAAAATTTCTGTCACAGATTCCAAAAATGCATAAAACCACCTGCTTCAAAACATCATCCTGTGAATACCCTTATCTCTTCGGGTGGTACAGCTGAGACTTTAATAGAGTTGACAGATATTAGGCATATGAGTAAGAGCAGCATAACAGATGACAGTGGCAATTATTTATATTTACAAAGCAAAAAATATCAGGAAATATATGGATATAGATATATTCTACACTATATCTTAATTTATGTCATATTTGAAAGGTTATTTTAGGCAAATAGTGTAAGTTATCTAAAACTGTTTGTTCTAATATCCAGAACCAACATGTCATTGCAGAATTGTTGGGAAGGATGACTGAAGATTAAGTGATTCAATGTGTCTTTGCTGCCTAGAAGTAGTTCTAAAACATCAAGTACATTGTGAGTTTTCTTCTTCTTGTTATTTGTTTTAATTGTGACAATGCCTTACTTGAAAGAGGTTTTTTTTACATGTGTACACATACATTATTCTGACTATGAATTAACTTCTTTGTTAGGACCATAATGATGCCTAGGGGAGTCACAGGTCAAGTAGGATGTAATACTTGCAACTTAGGGCAGTTCTTCTCCCCTCCCCCAATTCATGACTAAACTTGGGTAATTGGTATGCTATTGTTTTGGATTACTTATCTATTTTTCACAACGAATTTAATAACATTTTAAATAAATTATTTTTATATAAACTTTATTAAAACATTAATCTTCCCATAGTTTTATTCTCAATATAATTGAGAAATGCTAACTTGAATGTGAACGTTAAGTTTGTTTTATCATACAAAATCTTAGGGGAGTTTGAGGAAATCTGAACAAATTGGGAGAAAATGTGGTCCTTCATATTGGTTTTGTATAATGAAAATTAGTAAAAGCTACTTTTTGGGTAAAAGGATACTGTAGATTAAAGAAATGATTAAAAGTCACCTTGTTACACAATAACATAGAGACAAAATGAATACACTAAACATGAGATATACGTGGATTTCTGGCTGTGATTTAAAACTTTTCTGAACATGCAAGCCACAGAAACTAGGAAATATGGTATAGCACATAATACAAATTAACATATGTATAATCGAATAAATATATATCTAAATATCCCCCAATAACCCACAGATTTAAAATATAGTAGAGCAGGAGATGGAGGGCATGATAACCTAAGATAATCATTATTAGTTAAAAAAAATCGTAAGCCCCAATGTTTTTTGAAAAAAGAAAAGAAAGAAAATAGTTTTTACAATGAAAATTATAGTGACAGCAATCTCAGAGTGAGCTATGAAAAAATAAAGACAAGCAATTGTGTTACATTAAATATAAAGATGATTACATATTATTTGAACTTAATTTTTTAAATAAAATTATGACCTACTCCTATCCTACCCTGACTCAATGAACACACCTTTCTCATATTAGATATATGGTAATGTGTGGCAGTAGATGGAAAAGTTAGATAAATATCTTTAGTAAATAAGATGATGAGCAGCATAAATCCTGTATTTTGTTTGCTTGTTTTGTACAGTTTGGCAATTTAGAAAGGCAAATAATATCATGGATAAGTACCTGTTTTCTTGTTAGGTAAGGAAATATAAATGAGGTTCCTTTCACCATCTTTGGAGTTCTGTGGAAAGAACCAGATTGCTTTTTTTCATATTTTGCTGTCTTTGTTGAATATCAATTGCATTTTTTAAAGCTACAATCTTTGAGAAAATAATATCTGCTTTTGTCAACTCTTAGTGGAAATTGAAGTACTTTCTGAAAATTGTATTGTTCCCTAAAACTGGGTACTTAACAGTCTCCTAATTTTATTTTCTTCTATTTTAAAATGTTTTTTTTTTCTGTGCCTATGATTACCCAAAAAGCCTCATAATTTTTAATAATGCTTTTCACATTCGAATGTAAGGTAGCAACCCCCTTTTTGACTCACCAAGCAGTGAGAAAACAATCATATCTACACATTTATTTGAATAATCATTCAGTGTTAAATTATTGTTAAGGGGTCTGAGAGCCTAGAGCATCTAAATAACAAGTATTTGGAAGGACATGAACATGACTGACCAAATAGTTGCAGTTTCTCCATTCTTTCATTAAAAATATATTTATCTCCTTGTCATTGTGCTTTATTTTCTCCAAGTTTTGGCCTCAATTAGAGAAAAATATGTAAAATGAATACTTTAGAAACAATATCATGATAATGTTTCAAAGATGCTTATAGCATTCAGCCTGTGAAACCATGTAAAATACTTAAAAAGCATATGAAAAATGGAGCACCGTTATTTCTGCTTAGGCATTATTGAGTAACAGAAATCCCGGAGAAATGAATCAGAAATTGTCACACTTTACTATGGTTATGTCATCAAATTAAAGTGGCAGTTTTCCAATGTCACTGAAGCATTATAGATATCTGTAACATATGACACCACAAGAAACATTCTTACTTTTTTTTTTTTTACCTGTAAGGAAGCCTCTGTCTTGACTCCTCCATGTGTCTCTCACATGGCACAGTGAGAACAATTTATGCATTTTTTAATCTTTTGAGACTCTCCCTGAGGAGATGGCAGGCAATTTATTGATAATTCCTAAAGCATTTGAGAGCATAACAAAATGTTTGAGGCTGTCCATTAGTTGTAGAAGACAGTTTGTATTCACTAGTGTATCAGAGTTCTCCAGAAAAACAGTACTAAGAAGAGATAGTTAGATGAGAGATGATAGATAGATAGATAGATGATAGATAGATAGATAGATAGATAGATAGATAGATAGATAATAGAGATTTATTATGAATTGTTTTATGCAATTATGTAGGCTGAGGATTCCTGTGATTTGCTGTCTGCAAACTTCAAGAAAGCTGGTGGTATAGATTCAGTTCAAACTTGAAATATTGGGAGCCAGGGGAGCCAAGGGTGTACATCATAGTCTGAATTCGAAGGCTCTGGAATCTGGGATGTCAATGTCTGATGGCAGGAAGCGAAGGATGTCCTAGCTTAAGCAGGGAGTGAACTCACCCTTCCTCTGTCTTTTTGTTTTATTCAAGGCCTCAATTGATTGCACTGATACCCACCTATATTGGTGAGGATGATAGTTACTCTGTCTAACAATCGTAGTCTCTTCCAGGAGTATCCTCACAGGCACACCCAGAAATAATGTTTGCCAGCTATCTGGGCATCATATAGCCTAGTTAAGTCAACACTTTAATCGTCATTACTCCACCCCTTGTCAGCTTGGCAAACATAAGCATGTACTTAAACCATACTTAGTCTCTCTAAACATAGACAATAACAAGGTCATAGTTTTGCTTTACATGACACAACTATCCGGCATATAAATAAAAACTCACTAATCCTTTATTCCAATCAGGACATATATTCTTTGAGTGATACTGACTCTTCTCCTGATTTTCTCAGAGTAAAATTCTACAGTGTAAAAGTAACAATATTTAAATATTGATGTAAAGTCCATATATCATATTTATATAATAAGGTAATAAAAAATGGAATAAAGCATCTTAATAAATACACAGACATATTTATAATAAAATTAGGATGGAATTCTCATTACAATTACAGTCCTCATTTCTGAACTGGCCACATGATTATAGCTGGTATTTATAACCGTCTTCTTCTTCTTTCCATACTCTATTCCTTTTGTCTTTAGCAAGCACCTTAGTTGGCCATGGTTCTTTTTTCCTTGTGAAGTGGCCCAAACCTTTATTCCTGAAGAATGTGGGCCATTAGTAGTTCTGGCTAGTTTGGGCTATTACAGTTTTCCGTATATTATTATTACAGTTTTTCTTATTAATAAAAGATGTCCTAAGGAATGTCCCATATTCCAGGCTTATTCTTCCTTGTATTGTGAAGTAATAGCCCAATTTCCCCTGGAAAGTCAGGATCAAGTGTGATAACTTCCTGTTTTGTCTATTGATTCAGTTGCATGAGGAGCTCAAAATGGCTGGGTAAGAGTCTTAACTTCCAATTCAATAGAATTATTGCTATTTCTCTAGGTGGAAGCATTCATTCCTCTGTGACTAAGACCTGTAGGTCAGTAAAGCTTAAAGTCAATGGAGCAGGAAGCAGAAATTTTGACAGTGGGTCACTAGGGTTAATAGTGAGTGGTGTCTTGAATGTTAAATGACGAGTTAATGGGTGCAACACACCAACATGGCACATGTATACATATGTAACTAACCTGCACATTGCGCACATGTACCCTAAAACTTAAAGGATAATAAAAAAATTAAAAAATTAAAAAAAATAGTGAGTGGTGTCACTCATACTTCCATCTCTTCATTCCTAGGCTACTAGATCCAGTCTATGGCAAAAAAACAGCACAATATACTGGAGACTAATTCAAAGCATATATAGCTTTCTTGCAAACTTTTCCCCAGCTATTCAAATTATTGCCATCTAGCTGAATTGTAATTAAAATTTCAAAGCCAGTTTCTTTGGGATGTTGGGCAGCATGGTGAGTATGACTAGTGAATTCCATGATCATGGACACATTGCTGCACTTCTTTATCTGTGAAGTGAGTTTCTTGATATATGTAATGCCATGTGGAATATCATGATGGTACATAAGGCATTCTATAACTTGGAAGGTAGTTTTGGCAGAATTGCTTGCAGAGAAGGAAAATCTGTATCCAGAGTAAGTATATATTGCACTAAGAACAAAATGCTGCTCTTAAATGTTGGAAACAGTGCAATGTAACCAAACTCCTGCCAGGCAGCTGGCTACTCCCATTGGGTAATGGTGCCATATTAGTGGCTCTGTGTTGTTCACTGCTGCTGGAAGATTGGACACTCAGCAGTGACTATGGCCAGGTTGGCCCTCATGAGTGGAAGTCCATGTTGCTGTGAGACCACACATAACCTATGTCCCTGCCACCATGTCCACTTTCTTTGTGAGCCCATTGGGTGATGACAGGGTGCCTGAAGAAAGAGGCTGGCTAGTATCCACAGAATGTGTCATACTATTAACTTGAATATTACAATCCTCCTCTGCTGAGGTCACCATTTGGTGAGCATTCACATGGGACACAAATATCTTCACGTTTTTTGCTCATTCAGAGAGTTATGGTCATACTTCTTCCCTAAATTTCTTTGTCATTAATTTTTCAATCATGTCCTCTCCACGTTTTTTACTATCTAGCCACACCACTTGCCACAGCCCCTGAATCCATATGTAATCATAATTATCGCATGTCTGTTCTCTCATGATCACTTTCTAAGCAAAGTGCATCACCAGGTGCACCACTCAAAGTTGTGCACAGTGAGAGTATTTCCCTTTACTTCTGTCCATCAGGAATGTCCCAGAAAAGGCTTGTAGTGCTACAGTTGCCCACTTTTAGGGTGGTGTCTGCATATGATGCAGAACTATCTTTAAATGGGACTGGAGTCTTTTCTTCCTCTGTCATCTGACCATAAGGCACTCTCTATGAGGCCATGGGTGGAGACTGCGAGACAGAAGATAGTGTAGGAGGAGCGGGGACCATGTGCATCAGGCTATTTCTTCATGTAACTTACTTGTGCCTCAGGGCCTGTTCAGTCTTGAACACCATATACAGCAGTCACTTGGATACCTATTTTTTGCTTTTTGTGGTTTCAGTTACCTGCATTCAACTGTGTTCCAAAAATGTTAAAGAGAATTTCCAGAAAACAACTCATAAGTTGTAAATTACATATCATTCAAAATAGCACAATAAATTCTCACACTTTTTCACTCTATCTTACCTAGGGCGTGAATCATTTTTTGTCCAGTTATCCACAGTGTATATTTTCCTTGTCTGTTCCACTTAGTAGCCATCTTGGTTATCAGATGACTGTCACAGTATTGCAGTAACTGTGTTACATAACCGTTATTTTACTTAATGATGTCCCATACTGCAAGAGTTATGATGCTGGCAATTCAGATATGTCAAAGAGAAGGCATAAAGTGCTTCCTTTCTTTCAGTGTAAAGATGAAAGAAAAAAAAAATCCTATGCTAAGGTTGCTAAGAGCTGCAGTGAGAACAAATCTATTTGTAAAATTATGAAGAAGGGAAAATGGACTGTGTATGTCCAACTTTATGGCTGAGTGAGTCAGAAATCGTGCAGTTTATGATGTGTCAAGATAGTCAAGACTTCAGTTTCTAAGGCCTAATAGCAGGCCAAGAAGTGTTTTTTTAAATTTACTTGTTTGTTACCTATTTTTTACACTTGCTTAAATTTGCATTTGTACCACAGAGGACTCTTGATTAAAATATTGTATCTATAGTGCAGGCTCACAGAAAAAATATTGTATATACACGGCAGGTGGTATATACACAGTGGTTTCCTCAAAAAGGTGACAGAGTGGAGATGGTTTTCAACGTTGTCCTATTACTTTACTTAAGAATTTTACATGGAATAAAATAATGCACAAAGGAGAGGTGTTGCTTTTTTACTCATTTATGTTGTTCCTTTTTATTTCATCAGGGATAAAATTATTTAATTTTAATTTTGTTTATTCTTCAAATAAAAAATGGATATAATTACCCCTACTATGTACCTATAAAAATAAAAAATAAAAATAGTACTTAGAACACAGTAAATTTATTAGTATTAATAAATTATCTTAATATTTATTTTATTGTGACTTACCATCAGGTCTCTGTTTACAAATTATTTAGATTTTGGTTTTTTTCTTTATTACATATTGCAGCATTTCATTTTTTTATTCTGTTTAACCCTCAACTAAATTTTTCTTTTCTGTCTTGACAAAAACTTGATGTTTTATTAATATGTGTGTCCTATATTACTAATGTCATCCTGTGAACACATACAATTTGTGTATGTGTGTGTATTTACCATGCATATATGTTATTGTTATAATTTCATTGCTGTATTTAAGTCACTTTTTATTTGTGATATATCAATATTGTAACATTTGTGTTTCTTTCTGCATTATATACCTGCATTATATCATATATAATTATATAACTATGATACATGTCTGATAATTTTACCTTGTTTATTTTTTGTCCAGAGCAAGCCTATCCACAAAAACCAGCAACTTCCACGTTAAAGGCAGGGGTAGGGGGTAATTAGATTTGGAGTAAATGGTAGAAAATCCATGCACAGTAGTGAACGCAACTCTTTTAACCTCAGGTTATGATTATAGTTGGGGTAAGTAGCAGCAGGGAGGACTAGCCTGAAATTTAAAGTTCCTAGAAAGGAGATGCCAACTGAGGGATTTGATAAAAACTCCAATATCCTACACATCACCAGCTGTCTGACAACCTAAATACCCACATAATGGAGACTTGAGAGTACTCAAGAGGAAAGTAAATGCTGGGGTATACTTGAACACTAATACAGTTTAATGTGCTCCCCAAATCAGGCACATGTCAGCAGCAGAGGGTGCAAGCCTTATGAAATAAAAATTTTTAGAACAACTTTGACCACTAACCTAGAAGACAAAGAGGTAACTCTTAGAAAGTCAAGCTAAAAGTTAATAATGCAAAGGAAATGCTGAGCAGATAAATTAGTGGCCAAATTCTGCATATTAATTCTAAACAAGGTATTTTATAACAAAGAAACAAAAACACACACAGCAACAGAGAATCATAGAGGGAAAAAAATAAATAAAATCAAATTTTGGAGGTGCTAAAATATATTACAAAATTTCCAGTTCTCAGTACAAATCTGAGTCATTAAAAACAGAAAGAGGAAATAATGACCTATACTTGGATATGATTGATAGGTAGTCTATAAGCACCGCCTGTGACTGGACATAGATGTTGGATTTAGCCGACTCATATTTCAAAGAAACCATAACTAGTATTTCAAAGAATTGGAAAAATGTTTACAGTACTTGAGAAAATAAATCCACAAAAAATGAATATCAATAAAGAATTTGAATCCATTAAAAATAGATTTGAGAGTTGAGTATGGAAGTAATATATTAAGAAAATTTATCCTCATGGTTCAGTGTATAATATGCAATTGGTAGAGGTTCATAAAATACAGATATTCAGGTGTCAAACCTAGAGGCTGAAACCATGCCTGACTTGAGGCTCTGCAAAAGGAGAAAGTGAAGCCTTTGGCAGAACTGTAAGCTGCCTGAGCATTTGTTTGAGTCCATTTTTGCTTCTATAACAGAATACCTAAGAGTGGACAATTTATAAAGAACAAAAGTTTGTTTTTTGACAGTTCTACGCGTTAGAATTTTCAGAAAAAAAAGTACTGTAGAAAATGATTGACTTACCAAAGGAGAAAATCAAAAAAGCATTTTTTTTTTTCTGAAAGAATCAAATAGAAAATCTGGAGTTAAGAAACAAAATAACTGAAATGAAAAATTTACTTGTTAGATGCAACAGAAGATTGAGAGGCAGGGTGAAGAATCAACCAACTTAAAAAGAGGTAAATAGACAATATCCATTCTAAATAAAATAGAAGAAAGGTCACCAAAAAATCAAGACATCCTTGGACACTTGCAGTACTACTATTATGTTTATCAATAGAGTCAGTTGGAGTAGCAACAGAAGTTAAGGAGAAAAGAATAAAAATATTTCAAAAACTCCTGCAATTAGAGACATATCAGTGATATGCAGATATAGGAGACTAAACCAAACAAATTTGATAAACACAAAAGATTCTCACAGAGACATATAATAGTCAACTTTTTGGTAGCAAAAGAGGTAAACAGGGTATTTAAAATATCAATATAGAGGGGGAGCCTAGATGGTCGAGTGGACACAGCCAGAAATAACATTTCCCAGTTCCTGAGACATTGGGAAGACTGGCACACTCTGAATGGATCTTCAGAGAGAAGGCATTGAAAGTAGACAAAGAGAAAGTGCAGACACTGGGCTAAAGGGGTAGAAAGTCGAGAACCCTACACAGGCCTGCCGAGCACTGGGACCCACTCCTGGACCCCACTCACTCCTGGCGAATGGGTGAGTCAAACAGACAAAGAATAACCTGCTTTATCCATGGGCCTCCAGAATCCTAGTTGCAGGAGAACCAATGATCCCCCATGGACACTTGAGCTGGCAGGAATTGCTGCTTAGAAAAGTAATGGGGGCAGGACTCCAGATTTTACAGAGCACAGAGGGTTTGGTGCAGGAACAGCTTCAGTGGAGCATGGCCAGGGATACCCATTCCCCAAGGATCACCAAGCTCCTCTAGGAGGCTTCAGCCTTTAGGAGACTTACAGACCTGGACAGAACAGGGTGATCTTGTCTGTGTGATGGGGACAGTCTCATCTGAGTGCTCCCCTGTTTCCCAGCTTTTCCTGTGGCTCCAGCCTGGCTGTCCCTACTTGTAGCACAGCCTCCAATATCCAATCAGAGTGCTTTCTGGGGGCCCTCATCATAGCTGCTCTGCTGGTAGGCCACACATAACTAATGAAGAGGTCTAGCAGACTGGACCAAGCCAACATGAGCAGCCCATACACAACCATCCCCTGCTGCTTTGCTAACACCCGCCCCCCACATGGAAGTCCCACCACAACTTGACTAGCATGTGCATATGGGCGGATCTGTCTCCCCTCCTCTGATAGTGCATATGTGCACACGTACCCCACCATCATACTGCCAGCATGAGAATACCCCACTATCCTACCCACCCCTGGTGGCATGCTGCCCCCACTGAGGCACTGGCAGCCAGCCATGTTATCACTAAGGTAGCCAGTGCAAGTGTGTGTACAGACACTGGAACCATCTCCCCAACCTGCACTAAACCATTGCCACCACCAATGCCACCAACACAAATGTGTGTGTAGATGCCAGTGAATCCATCACTACCCTTCCAATGCATGGGCACCACACCATTACACTGCAGCTGCTGGTAAACATATGTGAGCATGGATCACAAGCCACCACCTTTACAAAGTGCTTTGGCTGGCACCCCTCATCACAGTATTGGGGCCAGTGGACTGGAAACACCTTGACCCCTTGAGCACAGCAGGTTTCTAACCTAAAGGAGTCAGAGAACAAAGTCAGTGGCACAATACAAACCCTCACAATTACAGCACACAGCCTAGGAGCGATGAGCTGAGCTCATCTTCCAGAGTCAGAGCCAGTTGACTGAACTCATAAGAAAATCAAACATCCCAGGGTATCAAAGATGATTAAAAAGAAAACAAAAGTGCAAAGGACAGTAACTTCAAAGATTAAAGGAACATCAGGCCACATAGGTGAAAAAGAACCAGAAAAGAACTCTGGCAACTCAAAAAGCCAGAATGGGCTGGGCACAATGGCTTACATCTGTAATTCTAGCACTTTGGGAGGCTGAGGCAGGTGGATCACCTGAGGCCAGGAGTTTGAGACCAGCATGGCAAACATGGCGATACCTCATCTCTACTAAAACTACAAAAATTAGCTGGGCATGGTGGCAGGTGCATATGATCCAAGCTACTCAGAAGGCTGAGGAAGGAGAATCACATGAACCTGGGAGGCAAGGTTGCAGAGAGCTGAAATTGTGCCATTGCACTCCAGCCTGGGTAACAGAGGGACATTCTGTCTAAAAAAAAAAAAAAAGAGTGTCTTCTTACCTCCAAAAGACCACGCTAGTTTCCCAGCAATGATTCTTAATCAGGAAGAAATAACTGAAATGTCACTCATGGAATTCAGAGTATGGATAGGAATGAAGATCATTGAGATTCTGGAGAAAGCCCAAACTCAATCCAAGGAATCTAGGGAATATAATAAAACAATACAGGAGAGTAAAGAGGAAATAGCCATTTTAAGAAAGAAGCAAATGTGTCTGATAGAGCTGAAAAACTCACTTCAATAATTTTATAATACAAGTATTAACATGGAATCAACCAAGCTGAGGAAAAAACCTCAGAGCTCAAAAAATGGATCTCCAAAATAACTCCATCAAACAAAATAAATAATAAAGAAGAATGAACAAAGCCTTTGAGAAATATGGGATTATGTAAAGTGAGCAAATGTATGGCTCATTAGTGTCCCTGAAAGAGAGGGAGAGAAAGCAAGGAACTTGGAATACATATTTGAGGATATTACCCAAGAAAATATCACCAATGTCACTAAAGAGGTCAACATTTAAATTCAGGAATTGCAGAGAACTCATGCTGGATATTATGCAAAACAACCATCCTTGAGACACATAGTCAATTCTCCAAAGTTGACATGGAAGAAAATAATATTAAAGGAAGCTAGAGAGAAGGGGCAGGCCACCTACAGTGGGAACCCCATAAGGCTAAAGGCAGACCTGTCAGCAGAAACTATACAAGCCAGAAGAGACTGAGGGCCTCTTTTTAGTGTTCTTAAAAGAAACTCCATCCAAGAATTTCATATTCAGCCAAACTGGGCTTCATAAGCAAAAGACAAGTAAGATCTTCTCAGATGAGCCAATGTTAAGATAATTTATTACCACCATGCCATCCTTACAAGAAGTCCTTGAGGGAGTGTTAAACACAGAAATGAAAGACTTACTGGCCACCACATAAACACACTTAAGTACATAGACCATTGATCGACATTGTAAAGCAACTACACAATCAAATCTGCTTAATAACCAGATAACGGCATGATAATGGGACATATCAAATTTTCACCTATCAATATTAACCTCCAATGTAAATGAACTAAAGACCCAATTAGAAGGCATAGAGTGGCAAGTTGCATAAAGAAGCAAGACCCAACTGTATGCTGTGCTCAGGAGACCTATCTCTCGTGCAATGACACCCATAGGTTCAAAGTAAAGGGACGGAGAAAAATCTACCGAGCAAATGGAAAACAAGACAAAACAAAATTGCTATTCTAATATCAGACCAAAGACTGTAAACCAACAACCATTAAAAAAAGACAAAGAAGGGCATTATGTGGTCCTTTAGGGAGTGCTAAATATGGGTTCAGTTCAACAAGAAGACTTAACTATTCTAAATATATATGTACTCAATGCAGGAGCATCCAGATCCATAAAACATGTTCTTAGAGACCTACAAAGAGAATTAGATAACCCTACAATAATAGTGGGAGAGTCCAACACTTCACTAACAATATGACATCACTGAGGCATAAAACTTATAAAGAGATTTGGAACATGAACTAGATACTTGGCCAAATGGACCTAACAGGCATCTACAGAATGCTCCACTCCACCAAAATAGAATATATCTTATCATCTGCATACGGCACATACTCCTAAATTGACCACATAATTTGCCATAAAAACAACTCTAAGCAAATTAAAAAAAAACTGAAATTATAGCAGGCATACTCTTGGACCACTGCACCATACAAATTGAAATCAATACTAAGAAGATCACTCAAAACCATATAATTACATGGAAATTAAATAATCTGCTCCTGTTTGAATTCTGGGCAAACAATGAAATTAAGGGAGAAGTCAAGAAATTCATTAAAACTAATGAGAACAAAGATACAACATATCAGAATATCTGGGAAACAGCTAAAGTACTGTTAAGAGGAAAGTTTCTTGTTCTAAACACGCAAATCAAAAAGTTAGAAATATCTCAAATTAACAATCTAACATCACACTTTGAGGAACTAGAAAAACAAAAGCAAACCAACCTCAAAACTAACAGAAGACAAATAATAACCAAAATCAGGTCTAAACTGAATTAAATTGAGATGTGAAAAGCCATACAAAAGATCAACAAATCCAGAAGTTAGTTATTTAAAAGAATGGACAAGATAGTTCACCAGATAGACTAATACAGAAAAAAGAGAGAAGATTTAAATAAACACAATCGAAATGACAAAGTGGACATTGGCAATGACCCCACGGAAATACAAAAAACTTTCAGAGACTATTAAAGTCATCTAATATGCACACAAACTAGAAAACCTAGAAAAAATTGATAAATTCCTGGAAACATACAACCTCTCAAGATTGACACAGGAAGAAATTGAAATCCAGAAGAGACCAGTAATGAGTTCAGGAATTGAATCAGTAATAAAAAATCTGGAAAAGCCCAGGAACAGACAAACTCACAGCTAAATTCTACCAGACATATAAAGAAGAACTGGTACCATTTCTACTGAAATCATTCCATAAATAAGTAAATAAATAAATAGGAGAAACTTCTTTCTAGCTTATTTTATGAGATCAGCATTATTCTGATCTCAAAACCTGGCAGAGATACACACACACACAAATTTTAGGCCAATAGCTTTGATGAAAGTAGACGAAAAATTCTCAATACTGGCAAACTGGATCCAGCAGCACATCAAAGTGCTAATTCCCATGATTGAGTAGGTTTTATCCCTAAAAAGCAACGTGGTTCAACATATGCAAATAAGTAAATGTGATTCATCACATAGGCAAAAATTTTTTAAAAAACATAATCATCTCAATAGATCCAGAAAAGACTTTTGATAAATTCGCATCGCTTCATGTTAAAAAATCCTCAACAAACTAAGCATTGAAGGAACACACCTCAGAATAATAAGCCATCGATGAAAATCTCACACCAGCATCATACTGAATGGATAAAAACTGGAAGCATTCACCCTGAGAACTGGAAGTGGACAAGGATGCCCACTCTCGTTACTCCTATTCAACTAGTACTGGAAGTCCTAGCCAGAGAAATCAGGGCAGAGAAAGAAATGACAGAGATCCAAATGGGAAGAAAGGAAGTCAAAGTATCTATGTTTGCAGATGATATAATTTTATACCTAGAATATTCCATAGTCTCCACCCCAAAACTCCTAGATTTGATAAACAACTTCAGCAAAGTTTCAGGGTACAAAACAAATTTATAATAATTGTGGTATTTCTATACATCAACAACGTCCAAACTGAGATTTTATGATGAAGATGCCAAGAGCAACAAAAACAAAAATTGACAAATGTGGCCTAATTAAACTGAAGAGCTCTGCACAGCAAAGGAAACTTTCAGCAGAGTAACCAGACAACCTGCAACAGAATGGGAGAAAATATTTACAAACTATGCAACCAACAAAGGTCAATATCCAGAGTCTATAAGGAACTTAAATACATTTTGAAGCAAAAACCAAATAACCCAATTATAAAGTGGTCAAAAGACATGACCAGGCACTTTTCAAAGAAGACATACACATGGCTAACAAACATATAAAAAACGCTCAACATCACTCATCATTAGAGAAATGCAAATCAAAACCACAAGAAGATACCATCTCACACCAGTTAGCATGGCTATTATTTAAAAGTCAATAATTAACAAATTTCAGTGAGATTGTGGAGGAAAAGGAATGCTTATATACTGCTTGTAGCAAAGTGAATTAGTGCAGCCATTGTTGAAAGGAGTTTGGCGATTTCTGAAAAAAACTTTAAATACTCCCCATTCAACTCAGCAATCCCACTATTGAGTATATGCCCAAAGGGATATAAATCTTTCTACCATAAAGGCATATGTGTGCATATATATATTCACTGCACCACTATGTACAATAGCAAAGACATGGAATCAACCTAAATGCCCATCAATGCTAGACTGCATAAAGAAAATCTGGTACATACACACCATGAAATACTACACAGCCATTAAAAAGAATGATATTATGTCCTTTGCAGCAATATGGATGGAGCTAGAGGGCGTTATCCAAAGTAAATTATTACAGGAATAGAAAACCAAATACTGCATGGTCTCACTTATAAGTGGAAGCTAAACACTGAGTACATGTGGACACAAAGAAGGGAAAAACAGACACAGGAATACTTGAGATTAGGAGGGTGGAAGAAGGGTGAGGAATGAAAATGTAGCAATCAGGTGCTATACTTATTACCTGGGTGACAAAACAGTCTGTACACAACCCCAGTGGCATGCAATTTATCTATACAGCAAACCTGCACATACACCTCTTAACCTAAAATAAAAGTTAAAAACTGTAAAAATAGGCCGGGTGTAGTGGCTCATGCCTGTAATCCCAGCACTTTGGGAGGCCGAGGCTGGCGGATCACCAGGTCAAGAGAGCGACACCATCCTGGCCAACCTGGTGAAACCCCGTCTCTACTAAAAATACAAAAATTAGCCAGTCGTGATGGCTGGCGCCAGTAATCCCAGCTACCCAGGAGGCTGAGGCAGGAGAATTGCTGGAACCTGGGAGGCAGAGGGTGCAGTGAGCCGAGATCGCGCCACTGTACTCCAGCCTGGGTGACATAGCAAGACTCCATCTCAAAAAACAAAAAACATGTTAAAACTATGATTAATGGAGATACCCAACGGTAGAGAAAATAGTTTAATAAATGGGGTTGTATAAATAGAATAGATTATTATAAAGTCACTCGTATTACCAACATAGGATAGATATTTATTAAATACCTATCATATCCTCAACATAATTTTAAGTGCTTCATATATAATATTTAATTGAATATTCACAAACACATGAGGCAGGTTCTAGTATTGTCACTTTGCAAACATGGACACTGACGATATGAGAGCTTAAGAAACTTTCACATGGTCACAAAGTAATTATATGATGTTTCTAGATACAAATTCAGAATTATGGTTTCCAAATACAAAGATTTTTTACCATAGCATAAAGTCTTTACTTGAAAAGTTATAATTGCAAAATGTTGAGAATGTAAAAGTATTCAAAATATGTGTGAATCCTAATTAAAGGGAAAATATATAAGTACACATATAATAGTATAATATTGTTCAGATCCTGTTTTCTAAATGCCGTAGTCTCATAAAAGCAAGACTCCTTGGAGCAGTGGTTAATTTTAGAGCTGAGTCCAGGAAAATACAAGATGACCTGGAGCACTTTGTGCTGCTAGAGTGTAAGAAGTAAAAACAAAACAACAGTGACAAAAAGAATTTTAAAAGACAGGGACATGTTCAAAGAGCAAAGAGCCCAGGAGCCAATTTGATGGTGATTCTATTAGCAAAGCTAGAACGATTTGAACAACAGAATAAATGATGTCAGTATGAGATAATAACATAAAGAGTAAAATAATTATGAGTGCATATTGATTTAAATAGAAGGCTGAATAAATAAACATATAGGGGAGAAATAACAACTCTTCCTTACAGAATAATTCCAATATATAGAAAGAGTAAGGAAAATAGTAAATTTTACCAAAATTATACAGTAATAATTGTTACAAGCAACAAACATTGATGAATAGTAAAAAGTAGTCATGAAATATTTACATAGTCTAAATTAGCTTTCCCCCAATAAATATTTAATAAATACAAAGATAGAATTATACTTCTACAGTAAAAAAAGTCCAGCACACACTACTTTAAATGATCAAGTTTAATATCACTAATAATATCACCTATCAACACATATACCCTGTGATAAAATGGAAAATGGTATACAGATTGCCTCTCTGGAACTATTCCCAATTATGAAAAACCTCAATTTAATCAGTAGAAAACATCAGGCAAGTTTTAATTGAAGGATAACCTATAAAATACTTGACAGGTACTAAAAAAGTATCACAGTCATGAAGAAAAGAAAAGAATATTGAACAGGAACAGACTCCGATAGACTAAGGAGACATGACACTAACCACAACCTGGCATCCTGGATTGGATCCTGGAAGAGAAAATAGGACTTCAGTGGAAAACTTGGTGAAATTTAGTAAGTCTGTAGTTTAGCTAATACTGTTTTATCACCATACATTTCTTAAGTATTAATATTCACCCTATGATTAAGTTAACATTAGTAAAGCTAAAATAGTTAATGAAAAGTTAAAAAGATTTGATTGACAGAAATCAAAATAGATGTGCAGGAAGATGTAAATTCAGTTAATCAAGTAGTTATTAAATGTCTATTTGTCCTGTAACATGGTCAACAATAGCCCCTATAGCAATTGTGTATTTGTGAACACTATACATATTAGTTCACCAAATATCGGAATATTAAATAGCTGAGACAAAATTTGAATCTTGAAAGAGACAATTAACTCTAGGTAGTGTGAAAGGAGAAATGATATCATTTTCATAGTTGAAGTCCCACAAAAAGCATAGTGCCTGCTGTCTAATAGCTGTTTAATCAATTTGTGTTGAACAAATAAGTAAGAGTAGATGAAAAGTTAATATTGAAGGGGTACAGCCCAATTCTTTCAAAGTATAATTTTATCAAATTGCACACTTATTGGGGGAAAAATTACTGCAGTCTCTCCTTATCCTCAAAGAATCTACAACCCCAGTGGATACCTGAAATTTCAGATACTACCAAACTTGATATATACTTTTTTCTATACATACATACTTGTGATAAAGATTAATTTGTAAATTAGACACAGTAAAAGATTAACAATAACCACTAATAAAATGGAACCATTATAACAATACTCAGAAATGCACAATTTAAAAACCTCTAATTTGTCTATTCCTGGAATTTTCCATTTAACATTTTTAGACTCGTTGACCAAGGGTAACTGAAACAACAGAAAGTAAAACCACAAAAAATGGGGGACTACTGTATACCATTTATTTTGTCCTAATATCTGATAATATTATCAGTGAGTGATAAGGCACATCTATAATAGATTTTATTACTTTTTTAAAACCTCTAATGTGACAGGTAACATTAGAGATGGTTTCTGTTGCTAGGAAAAATGTATTTTCTTTTCCCCATGAAAATATCTGTCTTGTTTCATTATGTAACAGTAAGAAGAGATTTGTTAAAGGATGCAAAATTACAGCTTGAGAAGAGGAATGTGTTCTATTGTTCTGTACTACCGTACAATGACTACAGTTAACAATATCATATTATGTAGGTTCAAACAGCTAGATGGAGGATACTGAATATTCCCAACACAAAGAAATGATGAATGTTTGAGATGATAGATATGTATAACCTGGTCACTACACATTATGTTTTGGAACACCACTATGTACTCCATAAATATAAACAGTTATTACTTGTCAATTAAAAGTAAGCCCCCCTTTAAAAACAAGAAATAAGGAGAATGTAACAATCACAGCAGAAAATAATTTAATTAGACAAGTCTGAGAGATCCTTCCAAGCTAGTGTTTGCCCAAGTATAATCCATGTAACGTGGGGCATTTTAAAAAATTTAATTTTATGGGTCAATACCAAACCTAATAAACCAGAATCTGTATAGTAGCATAGGCTAGGAAGCTGCTCTGAAACAAACAAACAAAAATAAATGATAATAATGTGAATACAATTGTGAGAAATATTGTATTTACTCATAAATTGATCATTAAATGGAAAGCATGAGTTTGATTTGTACCGTAGGTTTCTTGTTCATTTTCTTAGATGGCATACTTATTATCAGCCAATGATATTATGTATATACCATTAAGCACAATTAAAAATAACTGCCTGAGTTAAAAGTAAACACATCTATGATTGTTGACATGGATGGTAATGTAATTTCAACACATATTAACAGTATTAAGTCAATGAGTAGGAAAGCTTACTTCTGTTGCATAAGAGGGTTATCTGGGAAACAGTGGTTATCTGAGATACCCTAACATCATATGTCACCTTTATTTTCATAATGATTTAATTTTTCATAAATGTTTCATGTATACATCTACCAATAACATGTAAATAGCATGATTTTTAAAGCTACATCAATTGAATTTTTAAATAATATCTGCTGTTATTTAACTGAATACACAAAAATAAATATTATACATTTCCAAAGACTTCTATTGGAGACATACCCCAGACAAATTAAGAAGAGATCCTCGAGTACAATTAAGATAGGAATCTCAAGAGATTAAAGATGATAATTGTCTAACCTCTTTATTAGGTGAGTTTAAGTGTTTGAGGAAGAGTTGCAGGTATAAGAATACTGCTTAACGTATGAGATTTCAGAAGAAAATATTTTGTCATGGGATTGCTTTAGAAATACGCTAAGATCAAAACTAATTCTAAATAAGAATCTAGACGTGAACAAAAAATATAAACTTTCAATTCTCAAGAATGCACACAAAAACAAGTTAACAAGTTAATTTGGCTCTTATTTCTATCTTATCAATGGAAGATAATATATATAATACCCAGCATTATCATCAAAACCACCAATATTTTTCATCAACATCATAATATTTAGGGTCCATTATATAGGAAATAGAGCTCTGTGCTAAATAACTACAGTAACAACAACAACAGATCCAAGTCATTATGTTGACAATTCATGGGATTCAGAATTATAGATGAGGCAAATATAACAAACCTGAAAATAAATGGAAGATAACTGAAAAAAAGGATGTTTCGTTTGGATTATTGAATCCCAGGCATATCTAATTTTATTACCTTTTTTTCCCCTAAAATTTGCATGTCTGCCAGCCTGTGAGTATTATTTGCATGTTTCTCACATTGAGAAACTTTTTATTTTTTAATGTCTGCGTCTTCCATGAGGCTTTAAGAAAAATGCCCTTCATGACGAGCAAGACATTTGGTCTCACCTCACCCAAAGACAGAAAGAATACATGATAGGAGAAAAAGGTATAAGAAGTTTTAGCATTAACATGTCAAGTGAGCGGGATGTGTCTAGTTTTGTCTTTTCTATTTTTTTCTTAACAAAATCTAAAAAGCTTTACAGAGTCCAAGGAAATATTAGCTATGTCCGCCTAAGATTTTATTAAGCTCCTAAAATAATCCTGTGAAGTAGTTAGATGTTAAGAAAATAAGACTGCAACAAAAAGGAATTACTAAGTTCACAAATTGTAGAACTTCCTTTTCTAAATGGGTTTTTTATTTTTTCTAAGAGTATCATATAATTAATTTCATTAGATAAATTGCTGAGTATCATACAATTAATTTCATTAGATAAATCACCAATTAATTTCATTAAATTGCTATATTTGTTAGCTAAAATTAATTTCATTAGATAAATTACTGTATTCATTAGATAAAATTAATTTCATTAGATAAATTAGAATATTCATTAGATACAGTTATTTTCATTAAATTGCAAGACCCGATGTTAGACTGGGGCAGAGAATGGTACATCTCAGGAGGAATCTTTCGTCCTAGACATCCTTCCAGACACATGTTTTTTAGTCCACAAAATTGTGAACTTTGTTTTAATTAATGTCTGTCAATTTGTAAAAAATAAAAATTATGCATAAATCCCTAACTTGAAATCACTAAATTTTCCTTTCCATTTGTAACTCTTTCATTGTTGAAGTCTGAGTCAAATTTGATTATAGGGCCTTTAGATTTGAATCCTTCTCTAACTTTCCTTATTGTTATTGAGCAGGTAAGTCAAAGGCCTGAGTTGATATAAACAGCTGGCAGCAATTTCACTGAGGTGACTGTCTTCATCCTCTCTGGATATGCAAATCACCCTGAATTACAAGTCAGTTTTTTCTTGATGTTTCTCTTCATTTATCTATTCACTATTTTGGGAAACCTGGGACTGATCATGTTAATCAGAATGGATTCTCAGCTTCACACCCCTATGTACTTTTTCCTCAGCAATTTAGCATTCATTGACATATTTTACTCCTCTTCCGTAACACCTAAGACATTGGCGAATTTCCAATCCAATCAGAGATCCATCTCCTTTGTTGGCTGCTTTGTTCAAATGTACTTTTCTGTTGGATTGGTGTGTACTGAGTGTTTCCTGCTGGGATCAATGGCCTATGATTGCTATGTAGCAATCTGGAATCCCTCATTCAGTAGTCATTTCTTAGAAAGCGTGCAACTGGCTGGGAGTAATGTCATACACGATAGGTTTCACAAATTCTCTGGTATCTGTCTGTGTGATAAGTGGTTTTGTTCTGTGATTCCAGCATCAATCTTTTTTTTCTGTGACACCACAGCTCTTTTAGCACTGTCCTGTGTAGATGCATTCAGCACAGAAATGGTGAGCTTTGCCTTAGCTGGATTCACTCTTCTTGGCTCTATCCTTATCATCACAGTCACTTATATCGCCATCACCTCAGCCATCCTGAAGAACCAGTGGGCAGCAGGATGGCAGAAGGCCTTCTCCACCTGCGCATTCCACCTCATGGGTTAACTATCTTCTATGGGTCCCTGATTTTCACCTATTTGCAACTGGATAAAACATCATCCCTGATCCACGCACAGTTGGCATTTGTATTCTATATGACTGTCATTCCCATGCTGAATCCACTCATCTAGAGTCTGAGGAACAAAGATGTAAAAAATGCTCTTTGAGAGTCATACATAGAAAACTTTTTCCATGACAAATTTATGTATGTTATAATTAAAACAAACGTGGATGGCTTCAGTAATTCAATTATGCCAACAACTAGGAAAATAGCAGAGTAACATCAAAAAGCATAACACAAACTAAATGAGAACTTAGAGACTTGCAGTTTGTAAGTTTAATTATTATTTCATTATATGGACCACTAACACCCTGTATTTGGAGGTCAATTCAGAATATAAATTATTCAGACATAGACATGTACAAGGAAATAAGAGGCATCCGAACATTCATATGTGAGTATGCCATCACACTGAAACAGGTTCAAAATTATTACATTGAGAACATGCAATTTTTGTCATTCTGTGCCTGGCTTATATCACGTAACTGCATTGTTTGTATTAGACTGGTGCAAAAGTAATGGCAGTTTTTGTTATTAAAACAAAACAAAACAAACATAAAACAAACGGCAAAAGCCGCCATTACTTTTGCACCAACATAATAACTCAATGGATAAAGGCTTGGAAGACGGATAAACCATTTTCCAAGATGTGCTTATTTCACATTGCATGCCTGTATCAGAACATCGCATGTACCCCATAAATATACACATTTACTATGGACCCATAAAAAACTAAAAAATGTTTTAAAAACTAAAAAAAAAAATTAAATTGACAATATAATTTGACATTCTGTTTTCTCAGCTATTGGCAACTTGAGAGTAGAAAAATGGAAGATGAAGGAATAAGAACAGTTACATTTTACTAAAAATATTAAATGACAGCTGATCACCTGAAAGCAAAGAGTACAGAACTAAACAAACAAACAAAAAATAAAAATAACAAAGCAAATATTAGCCACAATGAAAAATGAAAGATTGAAATAATTTCAGTGCCATCACTAATGGAACAACAGATACCAGGCAGTATAGAGAAATCTCTTGATACTATGGAGTCATTTGCCCCTAACAGATGAGTTCTTCATCATATATGTATGAACACAATTTTAGATTACATAGAAAAGTGCTCTGTTTATGGCATATATTTTCTATAAAAAAAGGAGAGTTTAATTTATCATTAACTATAGATGTCTCATTGGTGGTAGCATAATTCCTAGAATATTTTGGATATATACAGAGACTCTTGCATCTCCAAATCAAACGGAAAAACTTTGTTAATTCTATAGCATTAAAGGAAGAAAATGTGTGTGTATTGTTCATGTGTGTGGGGTGGGAGAGGTGGTGCTTTCCTTGAAAAGAGACTTAAACCTGATTTAATGAACTCTCCCAGGTGTTTTTAGAAGATAACCATTGAAAAAGTTTTATCAGTACCGGTCTGGCCAACATTGTGAAAACCAGTCTCTACCAAAAATATATAAAAAGTACCCAGATGTGGTGGCACACACCTGTAGTCCTAGCTATTAGGGAGGCTGAAGCAGAAGAATCGCTTGAACCCAGAGGCAGACGCTGCAGTGAGCCAAGATCATACCACTGCACTTCAGCCTGGGCAATAGAGTGACACTCCATCTCTAAAAATAAATAAATAAAAATCAATCAATCAATATTTGTAAGATAAAAATAATTTTAACTCAAAATTTTAAAAAATTAGAATTATAATTTTATTAAGATTTTAATAACTTAATGACTAAGCATAACTGAGGTTAATCTTAGTCAAATAAGAAATAAAAAATTAACTTTACACTATTTTCATAATATGCCACAATAGGAATAATTCAGATCATCTATATAAGTGAAAAGTGACACCCAGATGAATAATGCAAATATTAAATTCTGGTATTATTAAACAGGTAACCATAAGAAAATACTTTTACTAGGTATTTTCATTACCTAGTCAAAGTATGCAACCTGATAAAGTAGGGGAAATAAAATAATAAAACACAAATAACTAAAATAACTAACGAATAAGCAAGTTAGTAAGTATTTGAACAAAATTTATCAAAAAAAGTTCATTTTTTTTATTGAGTCAAAGATGAAAGACAAAGAAAACAATAGTAAACATAATCCAGAAGAGAGAGAGAGATTGAGAGAGAGAGAATAGAAGGGGCATAAGTAACATGGTTTAAAACATAATGACTTAAGGCCAGGCACAGTGGTTCACACCTGTAATCCCAGAACTTTGAGAGGCCAAGGCAGCAACATCGCTTGAGCCCAGGAGTTCGGGACAAGCCTTTGCAACTTAGTGAGACCCTGTCTCTACAAAAAATAAGCCCAGCCTGGTAGCAAGCACCTGTAGTCCCAGATACTTGGGAGGCTGAGGCAGGAGGATCGCTTGAACCCAGGAGGTGGACGTTGCAATGAGTCAAGACAGCACAACTGCACTCCAGCCTGGGCAACAAAGCGAGACTCTGTCTCTAAATAAATAAATAATAACAAAAATAAAATATAATTACCTAGAGCATTACACTATATATCATTTAAATTGAGAGATTTAAAATCTCTGATCAGAATTAGGCTTTTGCCATGACATAGTAAATGGTAAAATAATTTTCTTGCCATTATAAACAACTCTGAACCTGAACAAAATAGTTTTTAACGTTAGAAAAAACATGAGCAAGAAAACCCCTTGTTCATGGCAACTTTGCAATCACCAAGTCTATTGAGGTGGCCTTGACGTAAAAAGTCACTTTTTGCCTCTTATTTGGCTTAAAACCTAATGATACCTATTGTCAAAGGGTGTGATTCTGGCTTTTTAATCTCCACATTAGCCTGTCTCAGGATCACTAAATTTCTGATGAACAGAATTGCTCTTCCAAAAACTCATCAAATGTACAATAAATACATACAAAAGTAGCCGCTTTATACATACCAACAAATTATCTCCTGAAATTCTAGATTATGGTCATGCTTCCTTCTAGACTCACTTTTAAATTTACATGAAAATTGATTTTATTATCATTACTTAACACAAAACCACATTAATATTTTACCCTGATTCACACTGTGTTTTCTTCCAGACTCTTCCTTTGCTTCCCCATCTTGGGCAAATAGTTCTCTGTACAATAGTTCAGCTCAATTTCTATATACTTTTAACCCATATTTAAGAAAAAATTTGACCTGATTATATATGGAGGAAGTAAGTTTTAAGCAACTAAATTCATTATAAAATGTTTATTGGTCTCAGGGCTGATTGTGTCCTTTTGCTCTCACTTTTATTTCATAAAAATTTAAAAAGTACATGAAAATAGCAAAACATATTGCACAAATATTTCATGTAGATGAATTAGGTGACACTGCCAAACCAGAATAAATCACCTGCATCACTTTTTTGGTAATGCTTCAAAATGTCTACTTATCAGCTGGTAAACAGTTAGTTAACTTAGTAAGTTATCCCCGGGGCACTAGCCAAAACCTGAACCATAGAATTGTAGGGTTTATAAAAGGTTAATATAACACAGTTCATGGCATAGCAAAAAATTTTGGTTATCAGATGATGAAAATACACTGAATATATAGTATTATTATGCAACCTATACATACATGTACATATAGGAATTAAGTGCACAAAAGAAAATAATTAGTAAAAATTATACTGTTTACAAAATGTTAACAGTTTAGAATTATTTTCATTTTCTTTTTTGAATTTTGTTATATTCTGATTCTTTTTTTTTTTTTTTTTTTTTTTTTTGAGACAGAGTCTCGCTCTTTTGCCCAGGCCGGACTGCAGTGGCACTGTCTCGGCTCACTGCAAGCTCCGCCTCCAGGGTTCACGCCATTCTCCTGCCTCAGCCTCCTGAGTAGCTGGGACTACAGGCGCCCGCCACGGTGCCCAGCTAATTTTTTGTATTTTTAGTAGAGACGGGGTTTCACCGTGTTAGCCAGTATGGTCTCGATCTACTGACCTCGTGATCCGCCCGCCTTCGCCTCCCAAAGTGCTGGGATTACAGGCGTGAGCCACCGCGCCCGGCCGATTCTTTTCTAATTAACATGTTTACTTCTATGATAGTATCATACATTTAAATATACAAAATTTTAATTGAAAAAAATGTGTTATTCCATCTTTGATGGTGTCAGAGAATAATTATTTTTCTGGAAATGGCTTCTCCACCATCCCAGTAAAATATTGAAAACATCACAAGAAAAGACCAATCCATAATTTCCTTCATTTGTGTGGCTTGTAAGGTAAAAAGGAAAACCTTTGCTCAAAATCTATCGTGGCTGTTTTATTCCTTGCACCTTTATCCTTGGAAACATACCAAGCAATTCTTCATTGGAAATTGGTCCACAGGGACTACCAAAAGGTGCATTATCATCAGCCCCTCATATATTAGGTACTCTGGAATTATCAGAGTGAGAGGTAAAGAATAATCTACCTATAGTCACAGAGATTCCCAGTGTTCTTTTGACACACAACTTCCTGGTAATCTTTCCATTTGACCAGGACCTAAACGAAATTTCTAGGTTGGTTTTTTGACACAGAATAAAACAAAATGAATGCACAAAAATGTAAAAACAACTTATCTCAAGGAAAACAAATATTATATCGGAGAAAATTTTATCTCCTTAAATGGTTTTCATATTTTATTTATAAGAAAAATTGAGGTTGACAAATTTCTAGACAGATAATATGAGAAGAAAGCTTTTTCACCAACTTTGGCTCAGACACGGTAAGTATTATTCTCAAAATTGGAAGATTTTATTTCAGATGAAATTAATTCAGGACTTTATCATAAGAATATACATATACATGTCATCTAGTCCTTACCCTGAGTAATGTCCGGGTTTGTGAAAAGAGATATGTAGAGTTGATGGAATCAGAGTCTACAAGCAAAGTACATATTTTGATCATATAATTTTTGGAAGAAATTTGATTTTGATTGGTTAAGTTACTAAAACATCATATTTGTATAAATTAATACTTATATATGGTCTATAATTTTAATGTATCCTGCTAAAATCCTTAAGTGTGAAATTTATTTAAAATTACCATTAAATAATATTAGAAACAAAGGGGCAGTAAATAATCTATTAAAAACTGTTTCCTCTCATTGTTTATTACATGTTTAGCTCTTTCTCAGGTTTTCTGAAATTATTTATAAACAGGAGTATAGTATTATAAGCCTTCTCTCTGAAGTCAACATATGTTGGCAGAATCAGCGTCAACATTTAATTGTTCTGACTTTGGATAAGTTACTCAAACCTTCCATACTCTTTTTTTCTCGGCTAAAATATGTCGATAATAGTAGTATCTATGGCATAGTATTTTCTTGTGGATTAAATGTATTAATAAAGGAAGGCATTCAGAACAAGGTCAGGTTCATTCTAATTATGCAATATGTTACATTTTATTATATCACATCTAAATGTTAATTTACACTTTTATCTACATTGGCAATATAATTCCGTTTTAAGGTCACATTCTATAAATGTATTAGCAATTTATAGAAACACTAAATGAATTAAATGCTAGGTTATTGTATAATCAGAAACCTTTTGAAGTCATTCATGTTAAGTATCAACTTTGATTTCTCAGCAGTTTAAAGCAATTGAACATCATGGGTAGAAGAAATAACACAAATGTGCCTGACTTCATCCTTACGGGACTGTCAGATTCTGAAGAGGTCCAGATGGCCCTCTTTATACTATTTCTCCTGATATACCTAATTACTATGCTGGGCAATGTGGGGATGATATTGATAATCCGCCTGGACCTCCAGCTTCACACTCCCATGTATTTTTTCCTTACTCACTTGTCATTTATTGACCTCAGTTACTCAACTGTCATCACACCTAAAACCTTAGCGAACTTACTGACTTCCAACTATATTTCCTTCATGGGCTGCTTTGCCCAGATGTTCTTTTTTGTCTTCTTGGGAGCTGCTGAATGTTTTCTTCTCTCATCAATGGCCTATGATCGCTACGTAGCTATCTGCAGTCCTCTACGTTACCCAGTTATTATGTCCAAAAGGCTGTGTTGCGCTCTTGTCACTGGGCCCTATGTGATTAGCTTTATCAACTCCTTTGTCAATGTGGTTTGGATGAGCAGACTGCATTTCTGCGACTCAAATGTAGTTCGTCACTTTTTCTGCGACACGTCTCCAATTTTAGCTCTGTCCTGCATGGACACATACGACATTGAAATCATGATACACATTTTAGCTGGTTCCACCCTGATGGTGTCCCTTATCACAATATCTGCATCCTATGTGTCCATTCTCTCTACCATCCTGAAAATTAATTCCACTTCAGGAAAGCAGAAAGCTTTGTCTACTTGTGCCTCTCATCTCTTGGGAGTCACCATCTTTTATGGAACTATGATTTTTACTTATTTAAAACCAAGAAAGTCTTATTCTTTGGGAAGGGATCAAGTGGCTTCTGTTTTTTATACTATTGTGATTCCCATGCTGAATCCACTCATTTATAGTCTTAGAAACAAAGAAGTTAAAAATGCTCTCATTAGAGTCATGCAGAGAAGACAGGACTCCAGGTAATTAAAATAGCAGGAATGCTGAACATTTAAACTCATCTTTTCTTTCTTTTCTATTTGGTATGTCCTTGGTCTCCCTATAAAAACAATTGAATCCTTCATGTTTGCATTTCTGTTGTGCTAACCTTTGCTTGACTAAACGTGATCTTGAACATTTCAAGGTGTATGTTTTCAGAAATCCAGATTGTAATTAGAAATCATAATATGTGTTGGCCGGGCACGGTGGCTCATGCCTATAATCCCAGCACTCTGGGAGGCCGAGGTGGGTGGATCACATGAGGTCAGAAGTTCAAGACCAGCCTAGCCATGATGAAATGTGGTCTGTAGTAAAAATACAAAAAATTAGCTGGGTGTGGTGGTGCATGCCTGTAATCCCAGCTACTTGCGGGGCTGAGGTAGGAGAATCGCTTCAATCTGGGAGGCAGAGGTTGCAGTGAGCCGAGATCGTGCCATTGGACTCCAGCCTGGGCAACAAGAGCGAAACTCCGTCTCAAAACAAAACAGAACAAAACAAAACAAAACAAAAAATAATAATATGTGTGTCATATTTACAGTCTAAATATATGTTTTTAGAAGCAACTGATGTGGAAAATAAGAAAATATGGTTGTCCTTTAAAATTATATTACACAAATTCCTATGCATACTTCAGTTGTAGGTAAATTTATTATGGAAAACAACGATTTGGGGCACAGTGATAACAGTCTCAGAAGTTATTTCATTTATTATATGGGGAAGAATTATAACAGAGTCTTTAGGAGTACTGTTTTGAAATAAAGTTTTCCAAGAGTTAGATTCTAAATATGCTACATTTTCAGCTATACAACCCAGAATATGTTACCTAAAATTTAAAACTCTCTTTCCTTAAGTGCACAAGATAAATAATAACTCCAAATTTGATCAGAGAGTAGCTGTAAAGTATTTAAGGTGACAATAATCAATGCTGCCTATTCTCATTAGAAGACTTGCATTCCAGCACAATGCCTTTTGTGAAGGATATTCACTTGTGTTTTACAAATTACTTTTGGTTAATTTAATTTACAGGCACACAAGCAACTAAAAAGGAAAAAAAAAGATAATATCAGTAGTTCACAATTTGGACTTTAGGAAATAAAATATTTTGATAAAATTAAGTTATAATAAAATAGCATATATTGTTAGAGAAAATTTGAAAAATATTATAAAATATTAAGGAAAATAGAAACCCTCAAAATATTGAGTTTTGGCTGTTTTGCTTATGGCATAGCCATTCTTTTGTTTCTTTATTTTTCTAATAAACTTGTTTTCAGTTTAAGAAAAACAAATATCGAGTTTTGTGCATGTTCTTCGAGATCAATAGTTTTGAATATGTGCATGTGTATAACATATGTAAACTAAATATCACTTTCTGTGTACTGATTTTCAGCTTTCTGTATCCATTTACAAGTTTAACATTGGATAATCTCTTTGTCATTGACAACGCTAATATAAATTTTTTCTTGGTACATAGGCAAAATCAAGACTCATTTCACAATGTTTTGGACTTGAAATATTAACTCACCACATTAAAAATCTACATGCAGTGATATCTCTTTTGTGTGTTAAACATTTGAAAACTTGACTTCTGTAAAGAGTCAAACTGTTTCTTTGTTAAAATTCTGTGTGTTTTTAAAAATCATTGCCTTGCTCCTGATGTGTACAAGTTTTAGTTTTAAAAATAAATCCTTGAATTAAATGCTTTATTCATTGATTTTTACATTTCTTAATACAGAAAAGTTGTAAAGCAAAGAATTGACGATGAATTCAGATGTTGTGACATCTCATAAACTTTAGTCAGGCAGAGTGATAAAAGGTCTTTTATTTTTAAATTTTTCTTTTACGTATTCTGGAATCACAGTATTGTTTTTCTGTGCTATTTAAAGGTTATTTTAGAAGCTATTTTCCATTTTCCAAGTATTTGATTTTTTATTTAAATTTTTGTAACAGTTACTAGATTGTTTTCATTCAAGCAATTTTTTTTTACCTTTTGAAATTTGTTTTCTTTGTAAAATTGTCCTCTTTGTTTTTTAAGTGCTTTATGGATGTTTAAAATAGAATGTAACCTCCATTTTGAGTTAATATTTTAATGTTTTTTCAGTAATTCAAACTGTCAACTAACTTATTCAGATCTTTTAAATATATATTATTTCCTCTACTTTCTTAATTTATTTCAAAACTTTGCCTTATCAAATACTAATGCTATATAAAATTATTATGATCTAATTTTTGCTTTGATATCCATGTCGTCCAGAATATATATTTATAGGTTCCCCTATTTGTTTTCGTTTGCAATTAGAAACAAGTATGTAGTAGGAATTTATTGTTTAATAATATGTTTTTTGGCTCATTCTCATCTTATAAATGCATGATATAATTTCATGTATTTATAGGCTCTTTCCATTTTTCTAGTCATTTTTATAAGCTATGGTTTTATCTTGCTTTCATTTATGTCTATTTCTATGATTTAGAAAATGGATCCTGTCAATTTGAGTTACAAAGATGGCCAACAGAATCTATCACTTTGTAGACAACACTTATGCTGAGAAATTGCTTAAATTCTATTTTAATTAGGACTACCTTATCCTCTTCATTGTATAAGCTAAAATGTATTCACATAATATTATAGAAAAGTATACAATAATCTATGTGCAATATGAAAGATTTAGACTGTTCACATTTGACTTATACTTTCGCTATTATAGTGATGTAAACTATATTTTATGTAAGATATTGTCTAATTTAAGGCATAGTCCTCTGATTCATAGTGTCATGCCAAAGTGCCATATAACATAAATACAAAAAAACCCTGTAATTCAGCATAGCAAAATATGAACAGCTATTTTTTCTTTCAAATAATGATGGCTAGATGAAAATAATAATAATTTTTTTTTCTGAGCACTGTTCAGACAATATTCAATGGGCTTTAGATATATAATTAACATACTTTATCATTATAATTTAACTGCCAGGTCAGTACTAGCAATATCTAAATTTTAATCACACATTAATGGAAAACCACCCTTTACTTGGTCAAGCAAAGATTTAAGAATTATGTTGAAGTAATGTGATTATTATGCATTGTCTTCCTGCATCAAATTATCTCATATACTCTAAATATGTATCTATTATGTACCCACAAAAAAAGTCAAATTAAGAATTTTTAAAAAGTAAATAAAACACAGAGGAGCTCCAGAACTGGGTAAATATAGGCTTTAGCTTAAGCTGAAACAGAGCATTCAAGCCAGCAATGGGTGGGCCTGGGGCCTTTACTTGGCTTGAAGTGAGGACACTGCCCTCCTCTCCTGAGGACTCATTTGTACACTCAGCTCATATTATTATGTAATTCTTGTCACCTTTCAATAACTTTTCTTACAAGCCTAACTATTTCTTTCAACTCTATGTGGCCAGGAGAGGCTTTCTGTAACTGTTTCAGATATAGACACACATCTTAGGGAGAACTGTCTGCGAGTGACAGCTTTCTCAGCCACAAGTCAGAGAGGTGGAGAAATCATTTTAAATTCTGGGCATTCGATCAAATATTCAGAAAAGGACACTTTGCCCTTTGAAAGTTGAACAATAAGCAGAAGTGCAGCCTGGGAAGCAAATGTACTTCTGATTATTTAAACTGAAGTTCTAGAGAGGACGGGATAGTCAGTGGTTCCAGCAACTTCAATGGGGGAATTTCAGGCTAATGCAGAAAACAAATGCAAAGGAATATCAAAGTAGTCCTGGTAACATCAGAATCCTATTGATACACTCACATCTCGGAAAGTGTTTGTCTCAGACTTTTGCAATTAATATCTGCAAACTGTGTTTGCAGTTTGAATGGTTTTCATCAATTAGTAAGAATCTATACCCATGTCCTTGTGTTTGCTTTTCTTTTGTATCATCAGCTCATAGACATTTAATGCAATACTAAGAAAACATGCTCTCTCCCCACCGAAAAAAAAAGAATTATCTTGGAATTTTATTTTTATTAAACACACTTTACTTCCATTCAATTAATATATTAAAGTTCTTCTAAATATGGAATACATTTGGTGTCTGAACACATTTTTTGCTACCATCCTGGCCCAGATAACTGTCTTTTTAGTGTCAGAATTATTGCTGTAGTGTGGTAGCATGCATGTAATTTTATTCTTATTCCTCTTGAGTTGAATCTCTATATAGGAGCCAGAGTTATACTGTTAAATAGTAGGTTGGATTATATCATTTCTCTTCACAAACCCTATACAGTATTTCCTCACACTAAAAATAAAAACCAAGAACTTTATAAGTGTTCATTGGTTGAAAATGATGTCCTCAATTCTTAAGTCTATGAACTTATTTCTTATTATTCCACCTGTCACACTTACTTTGTCTCTATTCCATTATCTCCCAGCTCTTCGCTGTAAATAGTATTACTAACACTGCCTGAAGTTTTCCATTTTCTCTTCTTCCTGAAGCTTCCTTCCCACAGATAACTGCATGATTTTTTAAAAAATTTTTATTTCCATACATTTTTTGGGGAACAGGTGGTATTTGGTTACATGAGCAAGCTTTTTAGTGGTGATTTGTGAGATTTTGGTGCACCCATCTCCAGAACAGTATACACTGAACCCAGTTGTAGTCTTTTATCCCTTACCCCCCTCTTACCCTCTCCCTCAAGTCCCCAAAGTCCATTGTGTAATTCTTATGCCTTTGCATCTGCATAGCTTAGCTCCCACTTATAAGTGAGAACATACAATGTTTGGTTTTCCATTCCTGAGTTACTTCACTTAGAATAATAGTCTCCAGTTCCATCCAGATTGCTGTTAAAGCCATTAATTCATTCCTTTTTATGGCTGAGTAGTATTCCATCATATATCCATATATATGGAATATATACACATAGAGCAATATTTTCTCCACTCATTGATTGATGGGCATTTAGGATTCTTTTCTTAACAAAAAAAAATCCCTTACACCCTATTAAAGGCATTAACAAAATAATAGAGGTTATTAAAGGGGATATGCTGCTGATAAACATTCTCTAGGGCTGTTGATAGAGGAGAGTATGATTTTGGCAGTACTAGCTAAATCTCAGATGTATAGGTACAGTCCTATTTACAGAAAAAGCACTCAATAAAGGAAAGAACAGTTTATCAGATGATGGGATGGTGCTGGGGAGAGAATTTGTATTTAATCAGGATACAGGCTTTTCTGATGTTAAAGAAAAAAAAAAGGATTCAGAAACAGAGTGACCCAACAACAACAAAGTATCCTTAAATATAACCTGCAGAGTGTTCTTTGTTTTATTCTTATTACTCTTGACCTGACTAGACTTTGTGGGGAGCTGTTTTTCACAAGGCAATCTTAGGACACAGGTTCTTCTATGTTATTGCTCTATTATCTCCCTGATGTCTTCTTCTATGTTGTTGAAGAGAGTTAATCTAGTACTTTGCCCACATTCTAGTCTGAGAGAAAGGTGAGATTTTTTGACAGTAAGGAAGACAATTCCAAACGTTGTGTTCATATGGATGGTTTTTAGAACATATTCAATTTTTTAAGTAGACATAGGACTACCCTGGTTACCCCTTTCTTCTGATGTAAGCTTCTTTACATTTTTCATTTGTATTTTTCATTTAATTGTCAATTTTATTAGCAAAATGTTGTTTATAATGTTCTTATTTTCCTTGTCATATTTGTAGGGACCAGAGTAAAATACCTTATTTCATTCCTGATATTGGTTATATTTCTCTTCTGTCTTCTTAGTGTTGACCCTGGATTATAAAAACATGTTTTATGTATTATAGTTTACCTAAAATAATCTATATCTCAACTTTTCACATAAGACCTTTAGAGTAAAGTCAGATCTCTCCCATTCCTTTTGCTATATTTGTCATAAATTTTACATTTACCAAAATGTTTAAAGAAGAACTAATACCAATCCTACTTAACTATTCCAAAAACTAGAGGATGGGTACTTCCAAACTCATTCTACAAGTCCAGTATACCAAAACCAGACAGACCCATTGAAACAAACAAACAAACAAACAAAAAAGAAGCTATAGGTCAAATCCCTGATGAACATCAATACAAAAATTCTCAACAAACTACTAGCAGACCAATTTCAACAACGGTTTAAAAATATCATTGATTATGTTGAAGTGGGAATTATCCCAGGCATGCAAGTATTTTTTGATATACACAAATCAATCAAAGTGATACATGATATTGACAGAATGAAGGACCAAAAACATGAACATTTCAATTGATACTGAAAAAGGATTTGATAAAATTCAACATCCCTTCATGACAAAAACCCTCCAAAAACTGAGTATAAGAGGAACATAACTCTATATAATAAAAGCCATGTATGTCAGACCCACAACTAGTAACATACTGAATGGCAAAAAAAACTGAATGTTTTTCCTCTAAGATCTAGAACACGACAAGAATGCCCATGTTCAACATTATTATTTGAAATAGTACCGGAAGTCCTAACTGGAGAAATCAGACAATAGAAAGAAATAAAGAGGATTTAAATTGAAAAGAAAGGAGTCAAATTATTCTTATTTGCAGACGATATGACCTTATATTTGAAAAAACCTAGAGACTCCACCAGAAAACTAATTAAAAAGCTGATAACAAATTCAATAAAGTTGCAGGATAAAAAATCAACATAAAAAATTAGTAGCATTTTGAGGACTAAGCTCTAATTGTTTTATCTTGCCCACATTCTTATCTAAATGATCTGGGTAGTCATGTCCTAGAAACCATAGATTTTTCAGCAGATGGGTTTTATTTAACCCTATGTATCATAACTTACTTTCCAAACTGACTCTGGCATAACATTATGAAACAAGGAAGAAAATCAAAATATTTTACCCCAAAACATATGTCTTTGCCATATCTTGAAAGGCCCTGTAAAGCTGTCCTTAAAGGAATATTTCCATCTGTAAAGAATCTCTATTAACATAGATATATGTTTTTTCTTCCAGGCCCTCCCAATCCTAATGAGATAAATTAAAAGTCTAGCACCTTTTAAAGATCTAAATAGGAAACATTTGTCATCTATTGTCTCTAAGGGCAGACACTATAAGACTTCAAAAGAACCTTGGTCTCCACAATCTTTTATCTTAATCTGAACATTTCCTTTCTATGGATTCCAGATCTTTAGACAAACTCAACCAATTATCAACCAGAAAATGTTTAAATTTACCTATAGCCTGAAACCTGCTGCCTCCCACTGTTTGACTTGTCCCACCATTTTGGACCAAACCAATGTATTTCTTAAAAGTATTTGATTGATGTTTCATGCCTCCCTAAACTGTATAAAAACCAAACTCTGCCTTGACCACCTTGGGCACATGTTGTCAGGACCTCATGGGGGCTGTGTAATGGGCAATGGCCACCCATATTTGGCCCTGAATAAATCTCTTCAAATATTTTACAGAGTTTGACTCTTTCTTTTGACCATTTCTATACACTGCAAACTGAAAATATTGATGACAGGTCTCAGTCAATTTAGAAAGTTTATTTTGCCAAGGTTCAGGACACCCCTGTGACACAGACTCAGGAGGTACTGATGACATATGCCCAACGTGGTCAGGGTAAAACTTGGTTTTACACATTTTATGGATACAATGCATCAATCATATTTTTACATTGGTTCAATGTGGAAAAGTGGAACAACTTGAAGAAGGGGAAGGTCATAGATAGATTTAAAGATATTCTGATTGGTAATTGTCTAAAACAGTTATTATCAATAGAAAGGAATTTCTGGGTTAAGATAAGGAGTTGTGGAGACCAAGGTTTTATCATGCAGATGAAGCCTCCAGGTAGCAGGTTTAGAACAGATTGTAAATGTTACTTATCAGACCTACAGTCTGTGTTGATGTTAATACTGGAGGAGTATAGTGAGGCACATAGGACCCTCACTTACAGTCATGGCCTGATCCAGTCTTTGAGGTTAATTTTAGAGTGCCCTGGCCTAGGAGGGAGTCCATTCAGATGGTTGTGGGATGAGGAAGGGGATTTGAATTTTATTTTTGGATTACAATGTCAGTAGCAATCAATTCAAAAGTAAAAATAAAAAGTCTGCAATATTTACAAATAAAGTTAAATACTTAGGAATTAACTTAACCAAAGAAGTGAAAGAGCTGTACCATGCAAACTATAAAACATAAATGAAAGAAATTGAGGAGGACACATGATAAAAGAAAAACTTCAGCCAAATTAAATTTAAAGGAATTTTGTTAAGCAAAGAATGATTAGCAAATTGGGCAGTCACTGAAGCCAGAGTAGGCTCTGAGATTCCAGTGCAGCCACATGGTGGAAGATTTATGGATAGAAAAAGAAAATGACATACAGAAAACAAAAGTGAGGTATAGAAATAGCTGAATTGGTTATAGGTTGGTGTTTGCCATGTTTGAACATGGTTCAAACAGTTGGCTCCATTTGATTGGCCAAAACTTGGTGATTGGCACAGATGTAGGCTTCAGTCTGTTTACACCTCCACTTGTTCTAGTTTGTGATGTACAAAGAAACCTTTTGGCCAAAGTTAAAATACGTAATGAGGCAGCTTCAGGTTAAACTCGATTTAATAATTTCTCTCTTTGGTCATCTCAATTTTTAAAGGTGGACAAAAAGTTTAGTAATTGATGTCAGTTTCACCAGTATAAATGTACTTATTTGGGCTTGAAAGCCACTGGGAAATAGCAAAACAGTAGGTTTTGTAAGATGGGAACAGGGACTTCAGGTTATTTATTCATTTTTTTGAAAGGGTTAGAATAGAGGGTACCTCCTTATGCTGGAACATCCTTTTTACAGGAGAGAAAACAAAACCTGGTGTGTTCTAGGATCTAAGCGTATCCTTAAAGTCTTAGCTTAATTATGTCACATTTAGCATGAATGACTCCATTTTGGTTTAGTCTGGTCTGTTGGGGCCTAGTGCATAAGCTCAGTCCAAAACAATGACCGCTCATAATTTTGTTTAAAAATTTTCCACTTTTGTTCATGTTCTCAGGTGAGATTGCGACAAACACTTAGGGCCTAAGCACCACTCTCAGTTACCACCATTTTGGGTTTCCAGTCTCATCATGTCTCTCATAAGTTACGGTGCCCATATGGTCACACATTTCTTTCAGGTCTTGTCATTCCAGTTGAAGAGACACCATTTGACATTCTAAGGATGGCTCCATGCAAACATTTAAAATTTTTAAGATAATACAGTGCACCAGGGAAACTACTATTATCAGGAGGATAATACCAAGAGTTTGGAGTATGCTCCTTACCCAGGTTCCCCCTAAACCAAACCACCTAAAATCAAAAAGATAAAAGAATGAGCTAAAAAGTCTACTCACTTTACTAAGCAGTCTCTTTGTTAATCCCCTCTATAAGACCTGATGTGATATATTTCTCCATAGGCCACAAGTGCCAGCAGCTACACAGATACTTCTCTGTTTAGCCAGTAAGTAATGTAGAGCAATTCTATTATTTAGCATAACTTTTACAAGAGAATTTAAAGTCTGTTGTATAATCATCACCTATACAATAGAATCTGCTATAGAGCCTATCATGAGGGATACATTCCTAATCATTGCGTCTTTTACTTAAAACCATGGAAAAAGAGGACCTAACAAATGATGCCATTCTAGTAAAGGGCCTACTTTTAATGTTCTCTTTAACCTGTGAGGTAGGTTAAAAGGAGTGAACCAATGTTCTGTTTCTGACTGATTTTGAGGCAACATATGTACCATTAAAATTTCTCATCTACCTTGGGCCTTCGTTTTCCATCTATCAAGGTATTAGGTTATCCATGTATAAGGCTGGCTTCAAAATCCTTTACAAATAAAAGTATACCCCATGAGTGCACACAACATACTCCCATTTCACTTCTATTGTTCATAGAGACTTAAGCAAGGGAAAAAAAGATTCAAAGATAAGAGTCTCATGATAGTAGAGAAATCTTCATCTGTGATCTTGGGAAAAAGCTGTTCACATCAAAGATGCTATCTTCTTCTGTGGAGAAACATCCCTGGTTACCTTTACCTTAAGGGTTCCAAAGGGAAGTGTACAATTTCACTTGTGTGGACGGACCCTTCTGAGTTGTGAGATTTTGAACCCAAGATTCAAGGTATTGAAGTTTTGCTACAGTGTGGATGACAAGGGCAGTATTTCTCTGATGTTCTCAAAAGATCCAGTCTTTGGGTTCTAGATTGTAAAGGGGTTTATTGTCCTCAGTCAGCAAACTATAAAAAAGCTTTCTTTACCTGGTGAACATATACTGTAGCATAATAATCTACTGTTATAACATCAGCCCTCTTGTATGAGAAAACTTTTATACAACCAAAACCCATGCATTGAAAATGACAATTGTATGAAGTCCCTCTATAAATGTTTGAGTGATCCATCAGGTAGTGAAATGTACCTGAAGCTTTGATTGTTTTCCTAGGAATATGGGTTTGACAAACCAAACATTGGTCATAAACTATTTCAGCAATTTAGAAGTCACCACACCAATATATATTTAATTTGGATCATTTTATCTTTTGCATGATGAGTCACAGAATGCAGAACTCTTAACAACAAAGCTTTAGGGACTCAGGAAGGACAAGGTGGCTTTCCTGGTTCTCCACAAGTCCAGGCTTAACATTAAACTTGTGTCCTCTTGAATATCAGTTGTTTCTCCAATTTAGGTGCATAGCACTGATAACTGATGGGTTATCGTAAGTAAATTGACTCAGACCATGGAGTTCATTCAAACTGTATATCTAAACAATTGTAGTAATGGCTGATGTAGCATAAAAATCTGGCAAAGTATTTTCTTGCTATTCAATTATTCTTTGTTCTACTTGGGTTTGCAGTTTTATAAACCAGTTAGTCCTTTCATTAAAGTTGAGGAAATTCTCACCCAGTCCAAATGATATGATTCTAAAGTTATCAGAAAGCTGTATTTATTCAAGAATGAGTGCTTTTCAGGGTCCTTTCTATCCTTTCATGAACCTCCTAAAAGATACCATATTCTAGGATTTTGTGTGCTTGTGAGGTTTTCAGAAACTGCATCAGAATTAAACAATTAATCATGGAAATGACTTTAAATAGTCATAGTAACAGACAACTGACAAAAAAATTTGGTTACTTCTGTGTTCTAAAATAGCTTAAATAATGACCATAATTATGACTGATAGCCTACACTAAGACATATTCAAATTTTAGAAATTTCATCCATCAATGCATGTAAAATTCCATTGGTTTGATGTGGAAGGGTGGGACAACTTGAAGCAGGAGGTGGGGAGGGGTGGGACTTCCAGGTCATTGGTAGATTTGAGTAGATTCTGATTGGCAATTGGTTGAAAGAGTTGTTTTCTGTAGAAAGAAATGTCTGGATTAAGATAAGGGATTGTGCAGACCAAGGTTTTATCATGCAGTTGAAGCCTCCAAGTAGCAAGCTTAGAATAGATTGTAAATGTTTCTCATGAGACTTACAGTCTGTGTTGATGCTAGCACTGGAGGATTATAATGAGGCACATCAGATCCTACTTCCAGTCATGGCCTAATCTGGTCTTTCACATTAAATTTTAGAGTCCCCTGCCCGAGGAGGGAGTCCATTCAGATGGTTGTGGGGAAGGGTGGGGTGCGGGGGTTTGAATTTTATCTTTGGTTTACGATGCCAATAGCAATCAATCTGAAAAAGAAATTTAAAAATCTACAATATCCATAAATAAAGTTAAATACCTACGAATAACCAAAGAAGTGAAAGATCTGTACCATAAAAACTATAAAATGTTGATGAAATAAATTGAGTAGGACACATAAAATGGAAAGATATTCCATGTTCATGAACTGGAAAAATCAATATTGTTAAAATGCCTGGGCTACCAAAAGCAATCTATAGATTCAATGCAATTCCTATCAAAATACAAATACATTCTTTACAAAAATAAATAAGAACCTTAAAATTTATATGAAAACACAAAAGACCCAGAATAGCCAAAGCTATCATAAGCAAAGAGAAAAAAAAAATGGAGAAATAACATTGTAGGGTCCAGCCCCACAGGGTTGGTGGGTTTTCTCCTTGTGTGCAGAGATGAGAGAGCATAGAAATAAAGACACAAGACAAAGAGATAAAAGAAAAGACAGCTGGGCCTGGGGGACCACTACCACCAAGACACGGAGACTGGTAGTGGCTCTGAATGTCTGGCTGTGCTGTTATTTATTGGATACAAAGTAAAAGGGGCAGGGTAAAGAGTGTGAGTCATCTCTAATGGTAGGTAAGGTCATGTGGGTTACGTGTCCACTGGACAGGGGGCCCTTCCCTGCCTGGCAGCCAAGGCAGAGAGAGAGAGGGAGAGAGAGAGACAGCTTGCGCCATTATTTCTGCATATCAGAGACTTTTAGTACTTTCACTAATTTTGCTACTGTTATCTAAAAGGCAGAGCCAGGTGTACAGGGTGGAACATGAAGGCGGACTAGGAGCGTGACCACTGAAGCACAGTATCACAGGGAGACGGTTAGGCCTCAGGATAACTGTGGGCGGGCCTGACTCATGTCAGGCCCTCCACAAGAGGTGGAGGAGTAGAGTCTTCTCTAAACTCCCCCAGGGAAAGGGAGAATCCCTTTCCTGGTCAGCTAAGTAGCGGGTGTTTTTCCTTGACACTGAGGCTACCGCTAGACCATGGTCAGCTTGGCAACGGGCGTCTTCCCAGACGCTGGCATTACCGCTAGACCAAGGAGACCTCTGGTGACCCTGTCCAGGCAAAACAGAAGGCTCGCACTCTTGCCTTCTGGTCACTTCTCACTATGTCCCCTCAGCTCCTACCTCTGTATGGCCTGGTTTTTCCTAGGTTATGATTATAGAGCGAGGATTATTATAACATTGGAATAAAGAGTAATTGCTACAAACTAATGATTAATGATATTCATATATAATCATGTCTATGATCTAGATCTAGTATAACTCTTATTGTTTTATATATTTTATTATACTGGAACAGCTCGTGCCCTCGGTCTCTTGTCTCAGCACCTGGATGGCTTGCCACCCACATAACATTATCTGACTTCAGATTATACTATGGAACTCATTTTCAACAAAGGTGCCAAGAAAATACATTGGGGAAAGGAGAGCCTCTTCAATAAATGGTGCTGGGAAAACTTACTTTAGCACCCATTATAGAGTTATGTAGGAACACATGAAGCCATAGAATCCAGAGGACATCATTATTAACATAGCCAGTGAAAATCAAGTTATACAAAAACTAAAAACAGCAATGTTTGCACATCAATGAATATTTAATGCAGATTAGTTTAAACATTGTCATAGGCTATGAATACAAGCCATATTTTATACATGATACAATATATTGATATTTCTAAAATGGTGAATTAGTAGGCTGATTGATGCTTTATTTGAAAATATTCTAGAAGTTACAAGCACTGTTAACTAAAAGAAACACATTTTCTTCTCTACTTTCTGACCATAGAGATGTGGACTGACACCCAATATTATTTGCAACTTTACTCAATTTTAAAACTATAACTTATTTATGAACCAATTTCTCACAAGCAATCTTTTGATTGCCTCCTTTACATCTTTGTTCCGCAAACTGTAGATGATGGGATTCAGCATGGGAATCACAATGGTATAAAATATTGACACTATCATGTCATTGTCCGAAGTGTAGCTGGAACTTGGTCTCACATACATGAAGAGGATTGTCCCATGATAAATTGTCACTCCAGTTAGGTGAGCTCCACATGTAGAGAAGACTTTTCTCCTCCCTTCAGCAGACTGCATCTTCAGAATGGCCAACAGAATAAAACCATAGGAGATCAGGACAATCAGGATAGTGACTATCTCAATAGAGCCCACAAAGTAGAAGAATAGAAGCTGGATTACGTGAGTGTCAGAACAAGAAATAGCAAGCAGAGGAGGCATATTACAAAAGACATGCCTAATTTCATTGGATCCACAGAAGGACAGGCTAAATGTAGCCACTGTATGTATAGTAGCATGTAAAATGCTAGCAACATAGGAAGCAGTGATGAGTGGCACATAGACTCTGGGTGACATGCTCACTGAATACAGGAGAGGGTTGTAGATGGCTACATAGCGATCATAAGCCATTGCAGCCAAGAGAAAGCATTCTGTGGTTCCAAAAGTACAAGCAAGAAACATCTGTGTTGCACATCCAAGAAATGAAATAGATTTATTTTTTGCCAGGAAATTGACCAACATTTTTGGAGTGACAACTGTAGAATAGCAGACATCCAAGAATGATAAAACACCAAGAAAATAGTACATTGGGCTGTGAAGCCAGAAATCCCCAATGATCGGTACAACCAGCCCTAAATTGCCTATTAGAGTGAATAGATAGATTGCTAAAAATAATAAAAATAGGAAGACTTGCACATCAAATTCTTCTGTGAAGCTTATTAATATAAACATGGTGACTTCAGTAAAATTGTTTAATTGAAGCTTGTATAGATCCATATCTGAAGGCAACCCTGACATTTTAGCTATTGTTTATATGTACTAAATGCAACAGCCTGTGAAAATTAAGTTTATCCAATTATATCCTCATGTTCGTTTCTTGGAAAAGCAAGATGAAATCCTTGTCAGCAAATGCACAGGTGGTGATAAAATTGGGTCCAAGTGGATACATTACTGTAATTAAATAAATTAAATAAATTATTTTATTCAATCATGCACTAAATTTATCTTTTTAACATGGATGAAGCTGGAAGCCATCATTCTCAGCAAACTATCTCAAGAACCGAAAACCAAACACCGCATGTTCTCACACGTAAGTGGGAGTTGAACAATGAGAACACATGGACATAGGAAGGGGAACATCACACGCCAGGGCCGGTCGGAGGGTGGGAGGCTAGGGGAGGGATAACGTTACGAGAAATACCTAAGGTAGGTGTCGGGTTGATGCGTGCAGCAAACCACCGTGGCACGTGTATACCTATGTAACAAAACTGCACATTCTGCACATGTACCCCAGAACTTAAAGTGTAAAAAAAGTCTATTTAATCAGTTTAATTTCCTGTTCATTTTCCATCAAATGTACTACCATCTATTCTTAATATTAAATTGTTTCAAAACTCATAAAGACTGAGTGCTATTCCTAGGTTTTCTAAAAAGTCCATTGAATTACTTTATTTTTCTCATTTTAAATATGGAAACAATCATATCTACATTATAAGAGTGGGTTGTATTTAAATGGGAAAAACAGTATGTAAGTTATTTAATATTTAAATATGCCCAGATAACTAGAAAATGCAATGTCAGGCTTATATTAAAATTTATCATTTGAGACAGTCTTTCTGACCAAACCATTTCAAATCCTTTTTTTTTTTTTGGCAATTATCCTGCTGTTGCATTAGTACTTACAGAATGGTGGTGGATACAAGAGATTTGATTCTGGAGATAGATGCACCTTGTTTGCAAACCAAAAGAATTTGGTGTTCATTTTTCATTTATTTTTCCTTTTGTGTTTCACTTTTCTTTCCTGAAAAAAATATCACCAATTTGTTCATTTTGGCCTGTGCAGTTTTTTTAAGCATTATTATTTTTCAGATTTTAACTTAAAACCAATATCAGACGTGTCAATTTATATGATCATTTGGTCATTATGCCTGTGAAGTCCTTGGGTGTATTTTTGTGACATATTTATATCAAAAATGAATTATGGCTATCCTTTTACTATGATTCTTACGTAACTTCTGAAATTTCTATAAAATAAATACCATCCAATAACAAGTAATACAATTATTTTTATAAACTGTTGCTAAAACAACACACGTATTCTCTCCTATGATCCTTGGAAAGTATGTGATTCAATTTGTAATACAGCTTCACATTAAACAGAACCCTCTTTCTTATATTTAAATAGTAAGAAATATGTTTTAGTCTTAAATTCAAGGTGAGAGCTTCTTAATATTTTACAAGTGATCAGATTCCTTTTCTCTTACCTTTGGAAATGAACTGCTCACTCAATTCAGGTATGCTATGAATATTGTGCATTTGAATTCTTATACCAGGCCCTTGAGCTCTAGAATTCCACAGGGATGCCCAAAGAAGAAAACACACTAATTCTCTTCTGGGATAAAACAAATTATGATTTTTTTTTTTTTCTGTAGTGAACAAGTAACTGATCTGGAACATGCATTACATGATTCCAATGATCACATAAGTGTACTTTCTACCTAGGTCCAAAATAATCCCCCAGTGGAAAAAAATATGCATATTACTGAAAAAGAAAGCTAATAATACAGGCCATAGTGCTAGCTCTGATTCTAATTATCTACATGCTATCAAATTAATAACTTAAATTCTCTAAAATTCAGTTTCTTCTTGAAATTATAACCTATGAATTATCTGGAAGTCCTATTGTCACATACATAATGAAATAATATGAAAACATAACCTATGACAAGACATATAATCATTTAATAAAGGTTACTATATTTATTTAAATTTGACAGTCCTCTAATTCTAAATGGTATGAGAGAGATTTAACTTCATTGAAAATTTAATAGGCCAGGTGCGGTGGCTCATGCCTGTAATCCCAGCACTTTGGGAGGCCGAGACAGGCAGATCACCTGAGGTCAGGAGTTCGAGAACAGCCTGGCCAACATGGAAAAACCCCATCTCTACTAAAAATACAAAAAATTAGCCGGGCTTGGTGGTGGACGCCTGTAATCCCAGCTACTGGGGAGGCTGAGGCATGAGAATTGCTTGAACCCAGGTGGTAGAGGTTGGCAGTGAGCCGAGACCATGCCACTGCACACTCTAGCCTGGGTGAAAGAGTGAGATTCCATCTCAAAAAAAAAAATTAATAGAGGAGATATTAATGCACATAATTATAAGGTAAATCTATGAATAGAGAATATTAACAGAAGAGTTAGGGCAATATGCAGATGTTCTATGTAATAATTTTCTGTGAACTAGAACATTAGACTCAGATATATGGCAGAGTTAAAGGTCAATTTTTTAAGTTCTGCGAGATCTTTTCTATCTTCAAGAATTGATATACTAATCTATATACTTGTTCTTTGATATGCACATAAGAAATTATCCAAAATGTGATGAAAAATACATGGATGATCAAAAGAATGAAATGACAACAGACTAGGAGAAAATACTTGCAAGGACACATCTGATAAAAGACTGTTATCTAAAATTTACAAAGAACTGTTTAAAACTCAATAGGAACACAAACAACCTGATTTAAAAATGAGTCAAAGACCTTAAAAACCACCTAAAATGGTCAAAAAGGCCGGGTGCAGTGGCTCGCCTGTAGTTCCAGCTTCCAGCCTGAAAGGCAGAGGTTGTAGTGAGCTGAGATTGTGCCTCCGCACGCCAGCGTGGGCGACAGAGCAAGATTCCGTCTCAAAAAAAAAAAAAAATGATTTTAAAAATGAGTCAAAGATACCCCATAAAAGATATACATATGGCATGTAACCATATGAAATTGATGCTCCACATCATAGGTCATCAAGGAAATGCAAAAAAAACAATGATATATCTCTTCATAACTAGAGTGACCAAAATCCCAGAACACAGAAAACAGCAAAAGCTGGCGGTGATGTGCAGCAACAGGAAAACAGGAATTCTCATTCATTACTGGTGGGAATGCAAAATGGTCCAACTACTTTGCAAGACAGTTTGGAAGCTTCTTACAAAGCTAAATTTACTTATAATCCAGTAATCATGCTCCTTGGTGCTTACCCAAAGGAAACAATATCCACACAAAGTTTTGCACATGGATGTTTACAGAAGCTTTATTTATAATTGCCAAAACTTACAAGCAACTAAAATGCTCTTCAGTAAATAAATGTATTAATAAACTGTGGTTTATCCAGATAATGAAATATTATTCAGCTCTAAAAAGAAATGAACTATCAAGTCATAAAAAGACATGGATGAAATTCAAAGGCACATTACTCAGAAAAATAAACACATTTCCAACACCTAGTGAATGAATAAAACAATTGTAGTACATCCATAATATGGAATACTACTCAGTGATAAGTAGGTATAAAATATAATTATCTAGTACAGGAATGAATCTCAAATACTTCTTGCTAAGTTGAAAAAGCCAAACTCAAAAAGTTACATACATTGTGATTCCATTGATATAATATCCTGGACCAGGCAAAATCACAACAGAAAGCACATCTGTGGTTGCCAGAACTTGGGAGTAAAGGAAAGTAATTGGCTACAAAGTGATGAGAGGACTTTATAGGGTAATGAAAATATACTATAACTTGATTTGCTTACCTACTTGTGTTTATCAAAATTCATATAACTGACACTTATAAATGGTAAATTTTTCTGTTTATATTAAAACTTTAGAAAACTAGCTATTACATAAATTTATCATTGCTTCAGAATAGATAATGACTAGAGGACAGAATAAGGTAGCTGAGGCTGCTGACAATGGTAACGGGCTGCTGGCAACCTTCTAAAACATTATTTTGTTATTTTCATCCTTGTATACTTTAACTCTCATCATATGGAGTTCAATTGCCATCTTCTTGCTCCATCCATGTTTAAATGTGCTGGGCATCTTGACTCTCAGAAGAAGGTACATAGGAAGTTGGTGATATATCAAAGTAACTTTTCCAGGTTCATGCTGAAGGAATCACTCTCTAGCTTTCATTGTGGCCTTAAAATATTACTGTAAAGCTACTTTAGCTCTCAGACCTAAGCCTAATTTATGAGCAAATTCTCCCTGCTCTTCCTTGAGTCCTATAGACAGTCAGTTCTTGCCTTTCAAAGTGGTTCTCCACACCTTAGACATTTTATGTTGCCCTAAGTGTTCTGAGAACTACATCTCCCAGAATTCTCCTTTCTTAGTGAAGCTTTTCTTCCCAATGATTCTACTTGACTCAGTTAGCTTTTTTTTTTTTCAGCGTTTTGTTTTCCTTAGGGAAACAAGGACAAGTCTTTACTTGTCCTACTGAAAGGGTGTATATGCTGCACATTTGTGACATCCTTAATTACCTTGAGCACAGTTTCAATCATTCACGATCCTTTGGCGACACCTGTATTGAGACTGCACAGGGGTTGGGGTGGTAATTCACCTGAAACTTGGAACATATAAAAGCTTATCTACTCTTCCAGCTTGACTTTGCTGGAATTTTCACTCAATAAATTGTCTTTTCTTTTTACTGGTGGAGTTTGAAAATTCACGAATTCCATGTGTTATAGGTACTGTTAATCCTTCCTTTTCCCAGTTAATTCTGTGTCTGGTAAAAAAAAAAAAAAAAGTTGCTGATTTAACAAGATTCTGTTGCAACAGGGTGCTTTGACTCAATATTCTTTTTATTTTCAGGTTTTGTGGTGGTAGTCTTTGATATAATTTTGAAAAAACAAATAAAAATTATCCATTTATGTATTTTTCACTTTCACTCATTTCATGTTTGCTTGTTTATTGATTTTTTAAATATGTTGATGGAGATTCTGAGTTTATTAGTGAAAGTTTATGCCTGCCTTGCATCAGCTTCTTTCTCTCCTTCCTTTTTTCTCTTTCTACCTTTTCCTTCCTTCCTTCCTTCCTTCCTTCTTTCCTCTCTTTCTCTTTTTTTCCCTTTCTCTCTCTCTTTCTTTCTTTCTTTCTGAATGCATTGAGTAGAGGTGCAATTTTGTTGTATGGATATATTGAATATATTGAATATCTTGACTTTTAGTGTATCCATCTCCTGAATAATGTGCATTGTACCCATTAAGTAATTTCTTATACTCCACATACCTCTGACTCTCTCACCCTTCCAACTTTCCACTGTAATTCATTCCACACTCTATGTCATATGTATACATTATTTAGCTCCTGCTTATAAGTGAGAACATATCATATTTGACTTTCTTTTTTAAAATTGTTTCATTTAAGATAATGGCCTCCAGTTTCATCCATGTTGCTGCAAAAGACATGCTTTCATTCTTTTGTTGGTGAATAGTATTCAACTGCTTATATATAACATATTTTCTGCATCTAGTCATCCATGGTTGAACACTTAGAGTGATTCTGTATTTTTCTTACTGTGAATAGTGTGGTGATAAACATAAAAGTGCAAGTATCATAGAACCACCATTTGATCCAGCAATTCAACTACTGGGTATCTACCCAAAGTAAGATACTGATTTATCTTTTGGCAGATACCCAGTAGTGGGATTGCTAGATCAAATAGTCGTTCCATTTTCAGTTATTTGAGAAATCTCCATACTGTCTTCCATATAGGTAGTACTAGCTTACATTCCCAACAGCAGTGCATAAGCATCCCCTTTTCTTTGCCAACATCTGTTTTTTTTTTTTTTTTGACATTTTAAGATTGGTCATTCTAACTGGTGTGAGACGATATCTAATTAAGGTTTTAATTTTCATTTCTCTAATAAGTGATGTTGAGCATTTTTTCATATGCTTATTGGCCATGTTCATTGCATGTCTTCATTTGTAAAATGTTTATTGATATCTTTTGGTCACTTTTAAATAAGGTTATTTTTCTTCGTTGAATTGCTTGAATTCTTTCTAAATTGTAGATATTAGTCTCCCATCAGATGCATAATTTGCAAATATTTTCTCTCATTATGTGGATTCTCTGTGCCCTGTTGATGATTTATTTTGCTGTATGGGAGCTTTATAGTTTAATTACATCTCATGAGTTTATTTTTGTTTACGTTGACTGTGTTTTGGTGGTATTAGTCATGAAATATTGCATAGACCAATGTCCAGAAGATTTTTTCCTAGTTTTTCTTCTTGTATTTTTCTATTTTCAAGTCATATATTTAAGTCCTCCATCCAACTCGGGTTGATTTTTGTATATGTAAATGGTAATCCAATTTTCCTACACCATTTATTGCAAATAGGATTCTTTGTCCAGTGTGTGTTTTTGTTAAATTTGTTAAAAATCTGTTGGATGTATATATATGGCTTTATTTATGAGTTGTCTATTCTTTTCCATTGATCTGTGTCTGCCTTATATCCTACCATACTGTTCTGATTATTACAGCCTTATAGTGTAACTTAAGGCCTGGTAATGTGAAGCCTTGAGCCTTATTTTTCACTTGGGATTGATTTGGCTATTCACTCTTTTTTTGTTGTTCCATATGCATATTAGGATTATTTGTTCCAATTTTATGAAAAATCACGTTGGTCTTTTGATAGAAATTGCATTAAATCTATAGATTGCTTTAGGTGGTATATTCATTTTAAGATATTAATTCTTTTTTTTAAATTGTCAACTTTAATTTTAAGTTCAGGGGTACATGTTCAGGATGTGCAGGTTTGTTACATAGGTAAACCTGTGTCATGGTGGTTTGCTGCACGGATCATCCCATCACCCAGGTATTAAGCACAGCATCCACTAGGTATTCTTCCTGAACCTCTTTCTCCTTCCACCCTGCCCCTCATGCTCCAACAGGCCTCAGTGTGTGTTACTCTCCCCACCATGTGTCTATGTGTTCTCATTGTTCAGCTCCCACTTCTAAGTGAGAACATGTGTATTTGGACTTTTGTTCCTGCATTAGTTTGCTAAGCACAATGGCCTTCAGCTCCAGCCATGCCCCTGCAAAGAACATGATCTTGTTCTTTTTTATGGTTGCATAGTATTCCACATTTCTTGCGTATATGTACCACATTTTCTTTCTTTCTTTCTTTCTTTCTTTCTTTCTTTCTTTCTTTCTTTCTTTCTTTCTTTTTCTTTCTTTCTTTCTTTCTTTCTTTCTTTCTTTCTTTCTTTCTTTCTTTCTTTTGTTCTTCTTTCTCTCTTTTTATTCAGAGTCTTGCTCTGTCACGTTTGTGTACCATATTTCCTTCCCCTCCTTCCCTCCCTCCCTCCCTCCCTCCCTCTCTCCCTCTCTCTCTCTCTCTCTCCCTTTCTTTCTTTCTTTCTCTCTTTCTTTCTTTCTTTCTTTCTTTTGTTCTTCTTTCTCTCTTTTTATTCAGAGTCTTGCTCTGTCACGTTTGTGTACCATATTTCCTTCCCCTCCTTCCCTCCCTCCCTCCCTCCCTCCCTCTCTCCCTCTCTCTCTCTCTCTCTCCCTTTCTTTCTTTCTCTCTTTCTTTCTTTCTTTCTTTCTTTCTTCTTTCTCTCTCTCTCTCTTTCTTTCTTTCTTTCTTCTCTTTCTTTCTTTCTTTCTTTCTTTCATTCTTTTTCTTTCTTTCTTTCTTTCTTTCTTTCTTTCTTTCTTTCTTTCTTTCTTTCTTTTGTTCTTCTTTCTCTCTTTTTATTCAGAGTCTTGCTCTGTCACGTTTGTGTACCATATTTCCTTCCCCTCCTTCCCTCCCTCCCTCCCTCCCTCCCTCTCTCCCTCTCTCTCTCTCTCTCTCCCTTTCTTTCTTTCTTTCTCTCTTTCTTTCTTTCTTTCTTTCTTTCTTTCTTTCTTTCTTTCTTTCTTCTTTCTCTCTCTCTCTCTCTCTTTCTTTCTTTCTTTCTTTCTTCTCTTTCTTTCTTTCTTTCTTTCTTTCTTTCTTTCTTTCTTTCTTTCTTTCTTTCTTTCTTTCTTTCTTACTTTTTCTTTCTTTCCTTTTTTCAGAGTCTCTCTCTGTCACCCAGGCTGGAGTGCAGTGGTGGGATCTCAGCTCATTGCAACCTCCACTTCCTGGGTTCCAGCTATTCTCCTGTCTCAGCTTCTGAAGTAGCTGGGATTACAGGTGCACGCTGCCATGCCGGCTAGTTTTTTGTATTTTAGTAGAGACGGGGTTTCACCATATTGGCCAGGCTGGTCTCAAACTCCTGAGCTCAGGCAATCCACCCACCTCAGCCTCCCAAACTGTTGGGATTACAGGCATGAGCCACTGCACCTAGCCCCTTTGCCCACTTTTTAATGGAGTTGTTTGTTTTTTTCTTGTGAAATTGCTTAAGTTATTTGTACATTCTGGATATTAGACCATTGTCAGAGAATAGATTGCAAAATTTTTCTCCCATTCTGTAGGTTGCTGTTTACTCTGTTGATAGTTTCTTTTGCTGTGAAGAAGCTCTTTAGTTTAATTACATCCCATTTGTCAATTTTTGCATTTGTTGCAATTGCTTTTGGCATCTTCATCATGAAATCTTTGCCCATGCCTATGTCCAAAATGGTATTGCTAGGCTTTCTTCTGTGTTTTACATCTAAGTCTTTAATCCATCTTGAGTTGATTTTTGTATATGGTGTAAGGAAGAAGTCCAGTTTCAATCTTCTGCATATGGCTAGCCAGTTCTCCCAGCACCATGTATTGAATATGGAATCCTTTCCCCATTGCTTTTTTTTGTCAGGTTTGTCAAAGTTCAGATGGTAGTAGGTATGTGGTCTTATTTCTTGGTTCTCTATTCTGTTCCATTGCTCTATGTGCTGATAAGAAGAATGCTAACAAGGGATTTATACATTCAGATACAAGAGTCTCAGTCATCATTAGAAAAATACATTGCAAATCGGACTTTGCCATGCTGTATAGTCATCAGACTGTCTAAATTCAATGTGAACAAAAAATTCCAATGTCAGCAAGAGAAAAGTGTCTAGTCTGCTGAAAAGGAAGCCCCATCAGACAAAAAACAAACTTTTCAGCAATAGTCTTGCAAGCCAGAAGAGAATGAGAGGCTATTTTGAAAGTGCTAAAGGAGAGGAAAAAAAAAAAAAGAGCTGTGAATTTTATATCCAGCTACAATAAGCTCTATAAATGAAGGATAAATAAAGTCTTTTCCAGACAAGCAAACGGTGATGGAATGCATCACTACTTGATCAGCCTCATAAGAAATACTAGAAAAAGTCCTAAACATAAAAACAAAAGGCTGATATTCACTACCAAAATATCACATGGGATTATAAAATTCAGCCATTGTATAAGACAATTACACAAAGAAGGAAGAGACTGGAATTAAATAGCAATACAACAGAACTACACTAAACTACAAAAAAAAAAAGAAAAAAAATAAGAATGTGTAAAACAACTAGCTAAAAATGTACAATGTGACAGGAATAAAACCTCACATATCAGTATTAACCTTGACTGTAAATGGATTAATGTTCCTGTTAAAAGATATACATTTGTGGAATGAATTTAAAGAATGATCAAACTGTATCCTTGGTGATAAAAACACATATAGACTAAAAGTAAAGGAGTAGTCGAAAAGGATATTCCATGCAAATAGAAACCGAAAGTGAGCAGAAAAACTACACTGTATCTCAGATAAAACTGACTTTAAATAAATAATAAAAAAAGAGTAAAAAGACAGACAAAAAGAGTCATAATATAAAAATAAAAGGATCAATTCAACAAGAGTATATATCAATTCTAAATATCTGTGCACCCAATATTGGAACATGAGATGACTTATGATGTTTTACAGAGATGTAAATTTTTTGCCTTCTTTAAGTCTATGGCATTTTTGTAGCTTTCTTATTAATTTGCTATTAATACTCCAATGATTTCAAGTATTATACTTTATTCACTGCAAACATAGCAGTTTATAATTTTAACAGAATGAAAGTGTAATGCATTTGAATGACTGTAAATCTATCTGCTAGATTGTGTGGAAGACATATGGTGATTCAATGTTATTATAGTTCACTATATTTACTGACTCATTGCAATATAAAATGGCTTATATTGCCAGCATGAGGACACTAGGCCTCAGAGAAGTTAAGTTTTAAGCCAGTGTCAAAGTTATGTTATAAAATTGTGTGTCATGGCCAGGCACAGATGCTCATGACTGTAATCCCAGAACTTTGGGAACCAAAACAGGCCAACAGCTTGAGCCTAGAAGTTGGAGACCAGCCTGGACAACATAGAGAAACCCCATCTCTACTGAAATTAGAAAAACTTGACAGACATGGTGGTGCACAACTATAGTCCCAGCTACTCAGGAGGCTGAGGTGGAGGTGAGCCTGGGATGTGGAGGTTGCAATGAGCTGAGATCACAGCATTGCACTATAGCCTGGGCCACAGAGCAAGACCTTGTCTCAAAAATAAACAAATAAATTAAATTATATATGTCTCATATCTTAAGGTTTTTATTTAATATTAAAACACTTTAAAACATTTTTAAATGCCATCATTTTAACCAGAGGACAAAAAACCATTCAATAAATGTCAACATACGGTACCTTTTTCTAAGCCATTTACTTTTTCACTATTGAATAAATCATATTGCTGTTCTTAAACTGGAAGATAATGAAAGCATATTCTCTTGGGCATATCTCCTGTGAGTTTCATCAACATTCAAGTAAGTGGATATAAACAATCTATATGAACCATATTCATTAGGAAATCAAACCTACATTTGCTGTTCCACAGGTAGGAGAAATTTTCAGATCATTTGGAGATTATTTTAGTAGCTAGAACCTAAGAAAACAAGATCAAATATGTTATTTTGTACTAAACACTTTAGCTACTAAAAAGACTGTAGAAAACACATTAATTCTTGACCATTGTATAGGTGAATAATTTGTATTCATACACACCTGATTTGTGCAAAGTTCTGGCCAATAATTGAAAACCAGTTGAAAACAGATCAGTTTGAAGTATGAACAATCAGGAATTTACCAATAAAGGGCAAGAACATATTTATCTTATTCAACTAATGAGCATTTATATTTTGATATAACAAGAAAAACAATAAAAAATTATTTTAAGTTTATTTTTGCTAGCCATGGTATCTAGAAGTCACTTAGGACTGCTACTTACTTCTATTGTTTCTCTAGCTTCAATGGTTAAAAAAATCCAAATACCTCGAGAATCATGTTTTGTTTTATTTCACTGGGGATAGTGGGTGGGGTTGGAATGTAACTTTCAGAATGTAGACAAGGTCTAATAGAAGGCAGTAAATCATTGAAAAGTCCATGCATTATTTGGGTGACAGGAAGTTTAATCTTGCCTCTGGCACTTGATAGCTGTGAGATTTACTACAAAGTTGCAATAAAACAATGTGCACAAAAGTCTATTTCTATAGCAAGTGCTCAATAAATGGCTATTATTTCTCTCCTCCTTTGCAAATTTAGTGTTTCAATGTCAAACTCAAGATATTTGGAGAGTTATGTCTTCTACTAAATTTGTATTTATAGATGTGGCTTTATATTAATTTTCAAAGCTGATCGTATATTATTAATTTCTTCCAGAATCATAGTCATTTACTCTTTATAACTCTCAATCTTTTCTATATATGCTAATATTGACTTAGGCTAAACCAGGAAAACTCATCTTTTGGCATCTAGTAAAAATGCTGGTTTAAAGACAAATTTAGCTGAAGTGCTTAACATCATAGCTTTTCTCTATATCATTTATTTAAAGTAATATTAAGCCCACTATGATGTAACAAATAGTATTGTGGTAATATAATTGTGGTAATTTTGGGTATTAACAGATCACATAATTTCTGAAACATCTTTTACTTGACTAAAAAATACTTCAAAGTCATAAAGAGTAGACAGAAGAAAATCACAATCAAGATACTAAATTTAGAATATTTAAATTTAATCCTGATAGAATATTTGAGTATGTATTAATAATTTAAAAAACAAATTTATTAAATATAACAAAAAATAAAGGATCTGGTTCAAGGCTCTTGTCACATATTTTTCAATGATTTAGTTATAATATTAATTTTGCGACCTAATTTTTACCAGTATTTAAAATGTATATATATGATGACAAAAATTCAATAATGTTGTAATATTAAATATAACAAATTGATATATTAAAGGAAGTTCCTTCATATATTTATGTTTTGAACAATTGTTTAGTCTGCCTGTCTGCACATCATTGTGCTGCGTGGTTATTCAAATACATTTATATTTTAAAGAGGAAAAACCTTTGTAGAGAAGGCCTAACATCATACATGGCTCCAATCTGTGGAATTGGAATAAAGCAGATTGCCCTCCATCATTTCGGTGAGCTTCATCTAATTGGTCGATTGGCATAAAATGACCACCCTCTCACGAAGAAAAGAGTATTCTTCAAAAGACTGTCTCAGACATCATCAACCACATTGACTCTTCCTGGTTCTATGGAAGACTGCTTATGGACTCAGACTGAAACAGTAGCCCTTCTGGGTCTCCTGCCTGCCAACTCACCCTACAAATGTTGGACTTGCTAACCTTTACAATTAGTAGCTCTGGTATTTCTGGAATTGGCTGTCTAATATGATTAGTTTTAAAGACACTAATGAGGCTGGATGTGGTGGCTCACACCCGTAATCTCATCACTTTGGGAGGCCAAGGTGGGAGGATCACTTGAGTCCAGGAGTTCAAGACTAACCTATGCAATATAGTGAGAACCCATATATATATACAAAGAAATAAAAATAGCGTGGTGGCAAATGCCTATGTTCCCACCTACTTAAGAGGTCTGAGATGGGAGGATCACTTGAGCCTGGGAGGTTGAGGCTGCAGAGAGCAATGATCATGCCAACAGGGTCCTATAGGTGAGGGACAAAGTGTAAACTATGTAGAGGTGTGCTATACTCTAAAAGAAGTATTTGAGTTTCCTAACATATACAGGCTGAAATTCAGAGAATATGTTTGGAAATGGATATTAAGGATGTAAGATAATGATGAAAGGAATATAATACTGGATGAGACCAAATTTTTTGATACAAATCCAGTAAGCAGAGATAGTGCATTTAATGTTGCAGCTCAAAGAGTGAGAAAAGACTCTAACACATTTTTTGTTTGGCTAAAACATGGACCAAAAGGTAGCCCACAGTGAGTTAAATGTGAAGTCCCTGCTTTTATTTTTCTGTAGAAACATGGATTTAAAGGGTTAAAGATATTGAAAAGTTGAAGTGAATTTGCCTGTTAACATCTACCAACCCAAACTGGAAAAGTCCAAAAGATACATTGCTCACCAAAATAAACTTTGGTTCTTTGAGTAATCTCCATACTGATTTCCATAGACATAGAACTAATTTACATTCTCACCAGTGGTGTATAAGCATTCCCTTTCACCACATCCACACCAACACCTATTGTTTTTTGACTTTTTAATAATGGCCATTCTGGCTGGGGTAAGGTGATCTCTCATGGGGGTTTCGATTTGCATTTAGCAGATAATTATTGATGTTAAGCAGTTTTTCATATGTTTGTTGGCCATTTGCATATCTTCTTTTGAGAAATGTCTATTCATGTCATTTGCCTACTTTTTGGTAGTATTATTTGTTTTTATTCTTACTGATTTGTATCCCTTGTAGATTTTGGATATTAGTCCTTTGTTGGATGCATAGTTTGCAAATATTTTCTCCCATTCTGTGGGTTGTCTGTTTACTCTGTTGATTATTTCTTTTGCTGTGCAGAAGCGTTTCAGCTTAATTAGGTCCCATTTATTTATTTTTGTTTTTGTTGCATTTGATTTTGGGATCCCAATCATAAATTATTTGCCTAGGCCAATGCCCGAAAGAGATTTTTCTAGGTTTTCTTCTAAAAGTTTTATGGTTTCAGGTCTTAGATTTAAATCTTTAATCCATCTTAGGTTGATTTTTGTATATGGTGAGATATAGGAATCCAGTTTCATTCTTTTACATGTGGATATCCAGTTTTCCCAGCACCATTTATTAAATAGGGTGTCTTGTGCTCAGTTTACATTTTTGTATGCGTTCTTAAAGATCAGTTGGTTTTAAGTACTTGCCTTTATTTCTGGGGTTTCTGTGTTCCATATGTCTATGTATCTATTTTTATACCAGTACATGCTTTTTTTGTTAACTATAGTTTTGCTTGTAAATATTTGCCTTTATTTCTGGGTTCTCTGTGTTCCATCTGTCTATGTATCTATTCTTATACCAGTACATGCTTTTTTTGTTACTATAGCCTTGGTTGTAAGTATTTGCCTTTATTTCTGGGTTCTCTGTGTTCCATCTGTCTACATATCCATTCATAAGAATGGATACATACTTTTTTTGTATGTACCAGTACACACTGTTTTTGTTATTATAGCCTTATAGTATAATATTAAGTTCAGTAATGTGTTGCCTTCAGATTAGTTCTTTCTGCTCAGGATTGCTTTGGCTAGCTGGGTTGTTTTTAGGTTCCATATGAATTTTGGGATTGTTTTTCCTAATTCTGTGAAAAAGTTGACATTTTGACAGAAATTGCATTGAATCTGTATATTGCTTTGGGCAGTATTGATGGCAACGGCAGTCCATATGGAGTAGCCGCTGCAAAGACAACGGCTGCAGCAGGGGAGGCAGCTGGGGCTTTGTGCTCCACAGAGCCAGAGTGGGCCAGGAACAGGCAGGAGCCCTGCCCCGTAACAAGTTGGCAGGGTGGGAACCCTGTATTCCCAGGCACAGCTGCAGCCACCCAGCTGTGGCTCCAGACCTGGGCATTCCTGTGCTTGGGTGCCCAGGAGACCCCCTGCCCCTACAGGCTTTAAAGTGCCTGCTCTTGCTACCCACCTCTCCTAACTCCTGGCTCCCACTCCAAGGAATAGCAACGTTGTGGTCAAGCCTGGGCACTATTGCAACCCAGGTAGGTGTGTGCAAACTAGCACACCAGCCCCCTGCTGCCTTGGCATCCTGTGGACTTTGGGCACCAATGAGCATGGGAGGGAGGCTGTGGGGGGTGCTGAGGGTGGGTTGCCATTGGCCTGCAGGAACTCCTTGGCACAAACAGCCTGGGTGCCTTGGATGGTGAGAGACAGACAAATTCCTGGGCAGAAAGAGGCATGTCTCCACCCACCTTCAAGCCAGGGATGGCCTGAAGCCTAGGGGCCTGGGCTGCCAGTTCTGGGTGGAGTCTATGGCCTGGAGTGAGAACTTATATTGCTTTTTCTGGGTCCTTCCATGGCCACCCATGGGCCAATCAGCATGCACTTTCTTCTTTCTGAGCCCATGAAAACCCTGGACTCAGCCAGACTTGGACAGAAATCCAACTACCAGCTGCAGGAAGGAGCTACCAACTTTGGGTCTCCTTGACTCACTAGGACGACTTGCCTATGGAAAGGAGCTAACAACTATGGGTCTCGTCTCCACTGAGAGCTGGACACTTGTCAGGATGACCTGCCTTTGGAAAGAAGCTACCCACTGCAGGTCTCCTTAGAGCTATTCTGTTGCTCAATGAAGCTCTTCTCTGCCTTGTTCACCCTCCAGTTGTCAATGTGCCTCATTCTTCCTGGATGTGGGACAAGAACTTGGGACCACCAAATGATGGGACTGAAAGAGCTGTAACACAAACAGGGCAGAAACATGCCCCCTGCTACCCCCCATCCCCCCAACCACCACATTGCAGGCAATGATTTAGAGGAGGAGCTGCAGCCCTTTGGGGAGCCCAGACCTAGTGTCTCCCCAGGCCAGGGCTATAACGTCCTCTTTGGGGCTCTATGGTTTCTGACATTTCCAAGCTTTCAGACACCACCACACTCCCCCTGTTCAGATGCAGGTACCCACAGTGGAAGCTGCTTGTGATACATCTGATCCAGCCACAGCCTCGCACAGAGCCAGGACCTGTGCTTGCACCTGGAGCTGCCTGCTCAGCTGCAGCAGCCAGTGTGCCTGGCTGTGTGGAGTGGCTGGACCTTATTCCCACTTGCTCCTATACTCCTTGCCACTCTGCACCTGGCTTGCCCTTGGCAGATGTGGGTCCTGGGCCAGGAGCTCAGGCCAAGGGCGGACTGCCAGGCAGAGTTAATAAAATGAGTCCAGCGGGTGTGAGCAATACTCAGGCATAAGGCCACAGAGGTTTCAAGCTGGCAAACCAACACCCCAAGTAACCTGTGACAGTATGGTCAGTTTTACAATATTGACTCTTCCCATACATGAGCAGATTTAAATAAAACTCTAGATTTTTAAATTTTGAATTGCTTTTGGAATGAGTTAGGATTTTGGGGTGCTATTCAGATGGAACAAATGTATTTTTTATGTGAGAAGGACATAAATTTTGGAGTCCTGGGGCAAAATATTATATTTTAAATGTGTCTCCTCCAAAATTCAGGTGTTGCCAATTTGGTAGCATCAAGAAGTGAGACCTTTAAGAGGTGATTAGGCTGTCCTTACAACTCATTCTTTGTTAATGAAATTAAGGCTTATATGAAAGGCTTCGTTCAGCAGTTGGCTAGCTTGCTCCCTTTCCTGTCCACCTTCTGCCATGTGAGGATGCAGCAAGAAGGGTCTCACCAGACAGTAAATGCTGCCACCTTAATCTTGGACTTCTCAGTCTCCAGAAATGTGGGAAAACAAATTTTTATCCTTTATAAATGACCCAGTCTCAGGTATTCTGTTTTAGAGGCAAAAAATGGACTACTGCATAGAGTGCATTGGCTTTCCATCACATTGTTTAAATATAGTCCACTTTACAGCATAGTGCTTGAGGTATGGAATATCAAGGAAAAAAAGTAAACATCATCTAAGGACTTTTCATCCTCTTCTAGGGGAAAGGGTGAGAACAGTTTTGATTTTATTAAGAATGGAAATATCATGTTAGGTAGAAGTTTGACCTTATTTTTGTTTTCATTTGGAGATCAAGTATGTTTTAAGGGGATATATATGACTGCCAGGTTGACAAGGGGTACACTTATATTGATTAATTTTAATGTGTCAACTTAAATGGGCTATGATGTGCTTACATTTGGTCAGACATTAATGTGTTTGTTACTCTAAGGATGTTTTGGGAGAGATTAACATTGAAATTGGTGGCATTTGAGGAATGCCTATTGACCTCCATAATGTGGGTTGGCCTTACTCAATTAGATGAAGGTTTGCATGGAGCAAAAAACTAGCCTCTCCAGAGCAAGAGCTAATTCTCCAGCAGACTGCCTTCAGATCTTGTCTACGTCACCAGCTCTTCCTGGTTCTACAGCACTTTGCCCATGGGTTCCGAGTAGATTATCAATAATCCTGGATCTCCAGCCTAATGACCCACCCCGTAGAATTTGAAATTGCCAGCCTCCCAAAATCAGATGAGCCAATTCCTTGTAATGAATCCTTCATCCCCCTCCTCCCCCATACATCCTGTTGGTTCTGTTTCTCTGGAGAACCCTGATTAACACATCCTTCCTTGGGTCTCCTGAGTATTTTGTACCTGTGATTTTATGTTCTCTTATTTTTAGAAAATTCTTGACCATTTTGTCTTCAAATGTTTATTCTGACCCATTCTCCCTTGATTCTTGTTCTGAAACACTAACTGTATGTATATTGGACTGTTTGATGTTGCCCTACAGTTCTTTGATAACTTTTAATTCCATATTTTTTCTTTAACTTTTCTCTCTGGTTAATTTATGTTGCTTTATCTTTAAGTTCACTAATACTTTTCTCAAGTTACTGAATCTACTGATAAACTTGTGAAAGAAATTCTTTGTCTCAGATATTGTGACTGTGAGCATGAGTTTTTATTTATAGAATTTTATTGAATACTTCCATATATTTTCCATCTCTGATATTTCTCACATATTCATGCATGGTGTTTACCCTCTCCACTAAAGCATTTATTCTAGTAATTTTCATGCTCTTTACTCAAAGACAACGAGGAATAACGATATTTGAAGACGTTAATTTTATTTGTTTTTTTTTTTTTTTTTTTTGTAAATGCTTGTTGGGGGCCTGCAGAGAAAACCTTGGGAGTGAATGCAAACTTTATTCTAGGACTTCCTGCTTTTCCCAATAACTCTCACTTGGCCTTTAAAATTACTTAATTTTAAGCTGATTTCCTCTGTTTTTAAACTATACTTTAACTTCTGGGATACATGCACAGAACACGAGGTTTATTACATAGTTATACACGTGCCATGATGGTTTGCTGCACCCATCAACCCATCATCTACGTTAGGTATTTCTCCTAGTGCTATCCCTCCCCTGGCACCCCATCCCCCAACAGGCCCTGGTGTGTGATATTCCCCTCCCTGTATCCATGTGTTCTCATTGTTCAACTCCCACTTACGAGTGAGAACATGCAGTGTTTGGTTTTCTGTTCCTGTGTTAATTTGCTGAGAATGACGGTTTCCGGCTTCATCCATGTTCCTGCAAAGGACATGAACTCATCCTTTTTTTATGGCTGCATAGTATTCCATGGTGTATATGTGCTACATTTTCTTTATCCAGTCTATCATTGATGGGCATTTGGGTTGGTTCCAAGTCTTTGCTATTGTGAATAGTGCTGCAATAAACATAAGTGTGCATGTCTCTTTATACTAGAATGGTTTATAATCTTTTGGGTATATAGCCAGTAATTTCTTCCTATCTGTATGGTGAACAAATATATCTCATACTCTGTGCCCACAGTGAAAGAAAGAGATGCTCAGGCATCTCATCTACATTTGAAGTAACTTGGTCTTCTTTGGAATTCAGATTTCTTGGATGTTTTGAACCTTGGTTCTCTGATAGACTCATGAAAAGCTATAATTTTGAAGATTACTTGGCTTTTTAAGTTGTTAGAATGAGAAGAATTTACTTTGCTGCTTTCCAAATTCTGTGTGGAAGTAGAGGTTCTGTATATCATTTAAAATCCCACCCAATACTGCGATTTCAAATGTTTCTTTTCTGGATAACTCTCCACTCACCACTGTAATATTCTTCTGGAGTTTTAGTTCTGTGCATTAAAAATGTAATGGAACCTCAGAATCAGTATACATATAACTGATCTTAACCACTCAACTTCTACAATATTCATCTCTCCAGTGTGTCCCCTTCCTATTTCCTTCCTTCTCCTTTTTCTGTCTGTCTCGTCTCTCTCTGTCTTTTTTTTCTCTCTCACTTTTACTTTTTATATTTGTCTTGTTTTATCATATAGGCTCAAAACTTGCAAATTCAAAAGGTCTCAATAAATAAAATGAATTGTCAAATCCAGATGAAATTTCACTTCCAATAACTTTTATTTTTAATTAATTTTAAAATTTATAATTGACAGAAAAGAATGGTATATATTTATTTATGGCGTACACTGTGATGTTCCAATGCATGTATACATTGTAAAATGGTCAAATCAAGGTAATTAGGATATCCATCACTTTAAACATTTATCATTTATTTGTGGAATAACATTTAAAATATTCTTTGCCAGCTATCTTAAAATACATACTACACTGTTACTGCCACAGTCACCCTACTGTGTAATAAAACATCAGGACTTACTTTTCCTGTTTAATTGTTATTTTATATCAATCAACCAACCTCATTTAATTTGTCTCCACTACCCTGTTTAGCTTCTGATAACCACTTTTCACTTACTTTTTACTTCTATAAAATCAAGTTGTTTATTATTATTATTATTATTATTATTCTACATATAAGTGAGATTGTGCAGTATTTGTATTTCTGTGCTTGGCTTATTTCACTCACTTATTCATCCATGTTGTCATTAATGGCAGGATTTCATTCTATTTTATTTCTCAGTAGTATTCCATTGTGTGTGTGTGTGTGTGTGTGTGTGTTTGTGTGACATTTTCTTTATGCATTCATTTGTAGATGGGCATTTAGGTTCATTCCATATCTTGGCTACTGCAAATAATGCTGCCATAAACATAAGAGTACGGATATCTCTTTGACATACTGATTTCTTGAAACTTCTACATCTCAATGAATGGAATGAATGGCCAAATCAGTGGAAACCACATTTTCAGTACTTTTAAAATGCATTCCTTTTTCTTCTTATTTCTGCCACAGACTTAATGAGGAGCTTCAGTATTCTCAATAATGCTCTCTGGAGGATAACTAATAAAGTTGGTAAAGTGAAAAGATAAATCTGTTCTTTCACTCCATGTATAACAAGCTTAAAAACAGGAACTCTGTAACCAGACAGCTTAGATGTGAATCCTGACATCACCCTTTAGAGCTATGTGGCATTGAGCAAATTCCTTAAAATTTATGTGCTGCTGTTTCCTCAACTTTGTTAAAAGATATTACTACAACCACTTCCTGAAGTTATGAGAATTACATAAGTTAATATAGTAAAAACTTTTACATGATTGTCCAGTACCTGATAAGCATATGTTAATTATTAGTATTAAATATAATTCATTCATGTACTCACTATTTATTTAATAAATATTTTGTCAGCAAACCATAAGTTCTAGGTACTCTTTTAGGACTCAGGGATACAATTTTGAGGACAAATATGCCCAATGCATGTTTTTATGCAAGTTACAATGTCAGCATCATGGTAGATCTGGATAATATATTATAAAATCACAACATCACATGCTAAATGGCAACTGTGATAAGTGAGAGAGGCTCCATGGGGTCATAGTGAGTCAAATCATTCTTTTGGGGGGAAAGGTAATTGAGCTGAGATATGTAACAAAATGTTCTATTGACTTGAGAGTTAAATATACCATTTTTCTCACCTTGACCTGAACAAATAGCAGGTCATTCGAGACTGCTTATTCACACCATTTGTTTTCTAATCGATTAGGATAAAAAGAGAGATAGTGAACTTTTCATGATGGTTAACTTGACAAGTTCTGAATGAGTTTGTTGAATGCATTGTTAACCAGATATTTTTAGGCATATGTCAGTGCATCATTTTACCTAATGCTCGCCTATTCCTTTCTCAAAGAATGACTATTTTTGCTAATTTGAAAGAGAAACAAAACAAAAAAAGAGATAGCAACCTTGACTAAAACGTTACCTAACAATTTTGACACCATAATTTGAAAAACCCTCAAAAAAATAAATGATTCTGGAATTCTGCAGAAATTTTAAATTTTGTGAGACAGCTATTTATTTAGACACATTTTTGAAGCATATTAAATTTTCTTCCAGAACATTCTCCCCAAAAGATCATACACAGGAAACTACATTTTAAGATTCTGTAATTCAAATAGCTTATTTTTTTAAGAAAATTTTGTCTACAGTGTAATCAGGGTTTTGTATCTAAAAATAGATTTATTTTTTTAAGAGGAAATTTAGTACAGATTTTGACTGCAAGCATTTGCTTATTCAAAAAAAGAGGGTTGGGTTCTCTTTGCATAATTGATTAGTAAAGATTAGAAACTGATGTCTGAAATTTTCAGTGTGGCTACTATGTTATGATTGGATCATTCTGGTTAATTCACATAAAAATATCCTTGGAGGGACAAGTGTGTGTTTTTTGAAAAAACAATTAATTTCCACTTTTAATGAATCTTCAAATAAATGTTTTAACAAAACTTACTAAAGCAGAATACGTAAAGTAAAGCCAGATGTGAGTAGAGGTAAAGCAAAATAATTTCCATTCTGTGGGCTTGCTCACTAGGTGTAAATTTTGTGGAAGGATGACATTGCAGTCATTTCTTACAGGTAAAGTAGATAGAAGATAATGGCAGGACTACGAAGTGAGCAAGGATATGCTAGTTTGTCAGACCTTAGAGCAGTCATTTATACATATGTCATAGTTTCATTCCTGGGGTATAGTGTTTCCTGAGCCTTCAGAACACTCTCAATAAATATTAGCATTCACAACCAATATAGTTTCACAATGACTACAATCAGCTTCTGTGGTTGAAAAGGGGCAAGGAAAGCATTTAATTGTGGAAAGAATTTATGATGTAGATATAAACACAGCAAAAGGCATGTTTGGAAGCTTGAGTAGATCTCAGTTTATGAAGGCACATTTAGGGAAAGTAAAGTAAAATTTGGATATTTCTTCTTAGGGCTTATAGATTGAGGAAGTAACTCCACAATGAATGCAAAAACTTTTTATCAGCCATGTAAGCATTTATCAATTCCCAGGATTCTGTAGGATTCACTTACTAGTTATAAGTGTGTAACTGATTTTTACTTACTGTGAAAGCTGTTGTTAGTAGTGTGTGGTTGGTAACAATAACAATATATTTATATCAAATAATATTTAATATAGATCTCTGAACAAATTAATTGGCAAATATGTGATGCAATTTGTTTACATTTGAAAAATGCTGCATTGGCAGGCTGCTTAATGCTTTTTTGAAACTATTCTTTGATATGCAAATACTTTAACTAAAATATAGAGATGTGAACTCTGACACTCAACATTTTTTTCAGGTTTACTCAATTTTAAATATATTCTTCATTTGTAAACCAATTTCAACATTTTCTTCACTGCCTTTTTTACTTCTTTGTTCCTCAAACTATAGATGATGGGATTCAACTTGGGAATCACAATTGTGTAAAATATTGACACTATGATGTCATGGTCTGAAGCATAGCTGGAACTTGGTCTCATATAACTGACGAGAATTGTTCCATGATAAATTGTCACTCCAGTTAGGTGAGAGCCACATGTAGAGAAGGCCTTTTGCCTTCCCTTAGCAGAATGCATCTTCAGAATGGACAACAGAATGAAATCACAGGAAATGAGGACAATCAGGATAGTGACTATCTCAATAGAACCCACAAAGTAGAAGAGTAGAAGCTGGTTTGTGTGAGTGTCAGAACAAGAAATAGCAAGGAGAGGAGGCATATCACAAAAGACATGCCTAATTTCATTGGATCCACAGAAGGACAGGCTAAATGTAGCCACTATATGTATAGTAGCATGTAAAATGCCAGCAACGTAGGAAGCAGTGATGAGTGGCACATAGACTCTGGGTGACATGCTCACTGAATACAGGAGAGGGTTGTAGATGGCTACATAGTGATCATAAGCCATTGCAGCCAAGAGAAAACATTCTGTAGTTCCAAAAGTAACAAAAAGAAGCATCTGTGTTGCACATCCGATAAATGAAATGGATTTATTTTTTGCCAGGAAATTGACCAACATTTTTGGAGTGACAACTGTAGAATAGCAAGCATCCAAGAATGATAAAACACTAAGAAAATAATACATGGGGTTGTGGAGCCAGGAATCCTCAATGACCAACACAACCAGCCCTAAATTGCCTATCAAGGTAAAGAGATAGATTGCAAAAAATAGTAAAAATAGGAAGACTTGCAGCTCAAAATCATCTGTGAAGCCTGTCAATATAAACATGGTGACTTCAGTCTTGTTCTTCAGTGGATTCCTGTATATATCCAAACCTGATGACAACTTGTCCATTTCAGTTTTTACTTGCAGGTTATAAAGGTTATAGCCTGTGAAAGTGGAGTCCATTCAATTGTATCCTTGTTTTTTTCTTGGGGCATAATAATTTCCCTGATAGTAATGGAATAGACAATGATGAAGTAATTGGAGCCAAATAGATGAATTTCACTGTATAAGTAAAAGGAAAAAAAATATGTAATTAATTTCTTGGCTAAATTTATCATGTTTTTAAAAAACCCTGCTAATTAAAGTGATTTTATTTTCCAGTTAATTTTCAGTTGAAATTTTTACTGCTTCCTCTCATATTATGTCCTAAAGCTCACAAAGATTGCTGAATGTAGAAATATTTAAAACTAAATATGTTATAGTGGAAAGCACACACTTGAGTACACTTTTAGATTTGTGATGAAGTACATGAAATGTCTTTTGTAAATGTTCACAATTTTAAAATAAGAGAAACCACACTCACAGCACAGTTGAATTTAAATGTTTAAAAATATCAAAACTATTTAATTTAAAAGGCTTCCAAATGACTAGAAAATGGGGATAAGTCAGACATACATTTCAACTTGTCGCATGCAGCAGCCTTTTTAAATAAAACCATTTCATGTCCTCTGTTCTGGCAATTATCTTGTTCCATTACATAGAAGAGCAGACTGTATTCTGGAGATAGACGTACCTTTACAAACATTACAATGTGTTTTATTTTCAGGATTTTTTCTTCCTGAAATATATATCACCTAGTTGGCAAATTTTGGCCTCTGTACCTTGTTTATCATAACTGTTTTTAAATTTCAACTTAATAACAATGTGAGATATATCTTACTAATAATTCATATGTTTGTTATTTTTGCAAAGTCCTTGGATGTATTTTATTTTATTTTATTTTATATTTCTGTTAAAAATAAATCATGGCCATTCTTTTAGTATATTATAGTTGCTTTTAGAGTTTCTAAAATTACTATGAAATAAAAATCACCAATAATAACTAATAAAAATTATAGAATATCTGGCTAAAAAATAACATTACTATATTTGCAAGAAAGTAGTGTTTGTCCTCTGGACTTCTTTCCTGATGGTATCATTCTGTTTCACATTGACAAGTATGAAGAAAGACAATTACACAACCAAAAATAAATAAATAATTAAAAGAAAAAAGGTAACAAGGTTACAGGGACTTCTGTATCTAGACTGAAAACCTGTTATTGAAACGGTTTAGTACTACATACACTAAATTTAGAGGTAAAATTAGAGGGGAGATTTAAGCAAGGTGACTTTGTTTTTCTTTTATCATGTCATAGATTATGAAAGTTTTAAAAGGGGTGACAACTCTGTCATATGCAGGTCCATTCTGAATTCAGTGACTTACAAATGATTTATATTCATGATGTGAGACATACCAAAATTTTGTCATGTTAAGATGACCACACATTAAGAAGAGAATGAACAAATAAGACTAAAACCACTTTTAGAAAGAAAAAAAAAGGCCAAGTGTTTATATATATTATTATAGAAATGTCCTAACAGATCCATGTGGAAGATTTTTTTAATATACAAAATAAATACCCTCATAAATGAGGGACTACAGAACGAAACAAAAATTCTCATTTGATTCTTAGAAAATTCTACAGCAAAAGATATAATTCAGTTAAATTCCACTTTCTGTGTAAATCCAGACTACTTACATATTACTCATGACAACACACACATACACAAATATATTAAGTAATTTTGTTTGTGTTATGTGAATAAAATAGCTTATAAAGTTATCAATAAATATTTTAAATATGAATTAATGTATTTTTGAGTCATAAAAAATATAGTTCTCTTATACAAATTCCTATCCTCTCTTTCTCCTATATTTTCTCCTTTCTCTCTCTTTCTCTCTCTTTCTTTCTGTGTTAGAAGAATCAATGGGATATATACAAACGTTTACTGACAAGAGTCAGGAACAAACAGGAATTAGCCAGATAAGAAGAAGCACGATTCAAAAAAAAAATGCCAGTGAATTTTGAAAAATGTGCTAATAATCTACCAAAGGAGTCCATTACAAAATACATGTTTACCACCACATAGAGGAGAAAGGTCAGCTACATTACAATTCCAGACTTTATTTTCCTAAGATATCTGAAATAAGGCAACTGTAGAATACTGGGAATTATATTTGGACTCTAAAACTCTATGTTTAAATGTCATGTTTAGCAGCATAAGCTTGGAAAAATTACTTCTCCTTCCAAACTAAAGGATAAGTAAGATTGGATGAAACTTTCACATATACCTCATTCAACTGCATAAACATGAGGTGATTGCACAGTTCTTTTTTATGAGATGCATTAAGATCAATTTTAATAAATAATTTTTTAATTACATGTGAATAATGCATACATATATGACTTAAAATTTTTATTTATATAATAATATAAACAGGAATTTACAAAATCAATATTTTAATAGAACCACAGTGCAACCCTGATGTAACCTGCCATAGTTTTAGAAATGTTATGTCCTAGAAACTATGTAAAATAGAATTTTTGTGTTATTAAATTATTTAAAGATATTAAGCTTAAATAGAATATGAAAATTTAAAATAATAACTAAACTTGCTTCTTAGTCAATTACCTAACTTTTACAATAAACTTAACTTTTCTGGTATTCCTATATCAGAAAATAAAATAAATTGAACCCAAAATGAAATATACCCAAAAGCTAGTTGAAAGTTAATTTTCTCTGTATCTAATAATTTTTCTAAATATGAAACATTGTCCCTTAATCCTGCTGCCCCTATTTTGACTATTCATCAGAAAAAAAATAAAACAAATTTCTAATTTATGGCTCTATTCATGAAAATATGTAGGAAGTCCTTTATATTTTCTGTGGTATATATCCTAGAAGGCATATGATTTAATTTGTGGTAAAATTTTTGAGATTAATAGAATCCTTTTATATTTAAATATTAAAGCATATATTTTCAAATATAATATAGCTTCTATAATGTGTTATATGTAATAAAGAGGTTTTCCTCCTACCTGTGGAAATAAGCTGCTCGCTAAATTAGATACATGATAAATATTATACATGTGGATTCTTATACCGGCTTCTCAAGCTCTTCAAGTCCTCAGGGATGGCCCATTGAAAACACACACTAATTCTTTTCTGGGACAGAAATGTATCAAGAATACTTTTAAAATAGTAAGCAAGTGAATGTTTCTGGAGTAATGAACTACATGATGAAAATGATTACCTGAAAGAACCTTGGCTTCTGGCTAAAAAAAAAAAAAAAAAAAAGTGATCCCTCGGTGGAAAAGAATCCTAATGATACAAGACATAGTCCCAGCTCTGATGCCAGTAAGATGAGAAATTCTCTGATTTCCAGTTTCCTTTTTCTGGGAATATACCATGCACATTCTCTGGAAATCCTGGAGACATGTAATAAAATAATATGGAAGCGCAACTCATGACAGGATTTACAGTCTTTAATAAAGTTTACTTTTTTGACTTTAAAGTGCTATAATTCTAAGTTGTATGAGAAGCAGATTTAGACACCTTGAGTGTTCTATCCCTTGAGAAGAGATAAAGATGAATACATGAATAGGAAATATTGACAGGAGAGATGGAATAGTGTACAGATAATAATGTTCTATATAATAGGACCTTAGAATATAAGACCTCTGGCAGAGATAAAGGTCAAACTTTTTGCGTTGAATTTAGTCTTGTCTTGGGGATTCTACATACTAATGTATAAGCTACTACCCAGCTATGTACATAAGTAAGTCTTGGGGAAATTATGGAAAATACATAAATGTCTAGCTAGGTTCCATACCCAGAGATTGTATATTGGTAGATAGGAAATATTGGTTTCTGAAATCTGTATGTAAAATATAAAGAAAAGAAAGTTGATACTGGAAGGCAGCCTAACTGTGAACTATCTATTAATTAAAATCCCAAACTGATTTATAGATTCGATGCAATTCTAGTTAAAATTAAGAATTTTTTGTACAAATTGAGAAATTGATTCCACAATTTATATGCAAAATTAAAAAAAAACGGAGTCGAAACAGTTTTGAAAACGAAGAATAAATTTGGAATGTTTACACAATCTGTGAATGGGACTGAGTTTAGGACTTACCACAAAGCTAAAATAACCAAGATAGTGAAATATTGGGTAAAAAAATACACTTCAATTAATAAAATGGAATAAAGTGTTGAGAACCAGATTCACATATATATGGTCAATTGATTTCTGACATAATAAAGACAATCTTCGTTGTCTGCTCATCTTTAAAAGTGGCTCGCTGAAAATAATTCTCAGTGTCATTTTACATCACTTCATCAGATATTGTTTCTGATATCCCCACATCATAAAGTTACAGTCTAGACCCTCTCTAAAATATATCCAAAGCTTGCAACAATGTCATATTTCATCCCTTTCTGTGTCTTTGCTTGTCTTCATGGTGTTTACAGTCCCTGATAGAAGTTTTCTGTTTCTCCCCAAAATAGGCCAAAAATAAATTTTAAATATATAAATGCATGAATAATTATGAAAATTATTTCCCTATTCCGGACTCAATATGCTTACCTAAAAAATAAACCATTCACTAGATCTACGGTTTCTAATCCAGTTGCTCTTCAAGAACATCTGGAGAATTAAAGAAATGTAATAACTTTATTATACCTCCTTTTTCTACTAAATTTCTCTATGTAGATTCTAGGCATGTGTATGTGTGTTTTGTATATATTTATGTGTATGTAACTATGTATGTGTATATATATATCTCTACACACATGCATATATATGTGTGTATATATGTATATGCACACATTTATGTATATACATACCTCATATGTGTAGGGCTGTGTATATACATAAATACACATATATATAAACATATGATATAGTAGTACCCCTTGATCCATGGGGGATGTATTCCAAGACCTCCAATGGATGCCTAAAACTTCAGATAGATAGTACCAGGCCGGGCGCGGTGGCTCACGCCTGTAATCTCAGCACTTTGGGAGGCCGAGGCGGGCGGATCATGAGGTCAGGAGATCGAGACCATCTTGGCTAACACGGTGAAACCCCGTCTCTACTAAAAATATAATAAATTAGCCGGGCGCGCTGGCTGGCGCCTGTAGTCCCAGCTACTCAGGAGGCTGAGGCAGGAGAATGGCGTGAACCCTGGAGGCGGAGCTTGCAGTGAGCCGAGATAGAGCCACTGCAGTCTGGCCTGAGTGAAAGAGCGAGACTCTGTCTCAAAAAAAAAACAAAACAAAACAAAAAAAACTTCAGATACAAGCCTTATACAAGCATAGCTTATTTCATTTGTTTTATTGATCTTTGCAGATATTGTGGGGTTTTATTCTTTTTTGGCAATTGAAGGTTTATTGGCACCATTTTTCCAACAATGTATACCTGCTTTGTGTCTCCATGTCACATTTTGATAATTCTCGTGATAGTTAAAACTTTATTTATGTATGGTAATTTGTGATCAGTAACCTTCGATTAATATTTTAGATGTTTTGGGGCACCATGAACTGTGCCCATATAGGATGGCAAGCTTAATTGATAAATGTTGTGTGTTTTCTGACTGCTCCACAGACCTGCTGTTCCTCAGCTTCTCTCCCTGACTTTGGGCCTCACTGTTTCCTGAGCCACAACAATATTGCAATTAAGCCAATTAATAATGCTACAATAACGGCCAAGTGTTCAAGTGAAAGTAAGAGTCACATGTGTTTAATTTTAAATCAAACTAGAAATAATTGAGCTTAGTGAGGAAGGCATGTCAAAAACCAAGATGGGCCAACAGCTAGGCTTCTTGTGATAAGTAATTAGTCAAGTGGTGAATACAAAGGAAAAGTTCTTGAAGAATATTAAAAGTGCTACTCCAGTGAACATATAAATGATAAAGTGAAATAGCCTAACTACTGATATGGAGGAAATATTAGTTGTCTGGATAGAAGATGAAACCAGCTGCAACATTAGCTTAAACCAAAGCCTAATCTAGACCACGGTCCTAACTGTCTTCAACTCTGTGAAAACTGAGAGGGTAGGGAAGCTGCAGAAGAAAAGTTGAAAGCTAGCAGGGTTGATGAGGTTTCAATCAGAAAGGGTTGATGAGGGTTCATGAGGTTTAAGGGCAGAAGTTATCACCATAAAGAGTACAAGGTGGGCCAGGCGTGGTGGCTCACACCTGTAATCCCAGCACTTTGGGAGGCTGAGGCAGGCAGATCATGAGGTCAAGACATCCAGACCACCCTGGCCAACATGGTGAAACCCCATCTCTACTAAAAATACAAAAATTAGGTGGGTGTGGTGGCACACGCCTGTAGTCCCAGCTACTTGAGGCTGATGCAGGAGAATGAATCCCTTGAACCCAGCAGGTGGGGGTTGCAGTGAGCCAAGATCTCACCATTGCACTCCAGCCTGACAACAGAGTGAGACTCTGTCAAAAAAAAAAAAAAAAAAAAAAAAAAAGTGCAAGGTGAACCAGCAAGTTTTAATGTAGAAGCTGCAATATATTATACAGAAGATCTAGCTAAGATCATTGATGAAGGTGGCTATATTAAACAACAGATTTTTAGTGTAGACAAAACAACATTCTAATGAAAGAAGATGCCATCTGGGACTTTCATGGCTATACAAGAGGAGTTAATGCCTGGCTTCAGAGCTTCGTTGAAAGAACAGAGTGATGGTTTTGTTAGGGGCTAATGTAGCTGGTGACTTTAAGGTGAAGCCAGTGATCATTTACCATTCCAAATATCCCAGGGCCCTTAATAAGTGTACAGATACGGTGTACTCTGCCTGTGCTCTATAAGTAGAATAACAAAGCCTGGATGATAGAATATCTGTTGACAGCATGGTTTACTAAATATTTTAAGTCCACTGTTGAGACCTACTACTCAGGTAAAATGATTCCTTTCAAAATACTACTACTCATTGACAATGCATCTTGTCACCTAAAGTTCTGATGGAGATGTACAAGGAGATTAATGTTGCTTTCATGACTGCTAATACGACATCCATTTTACAGCCCATGGACCAAGGAGTGATTTCAAATTTCAAGTCTTATTTTTTATTTATTTTTTTTTTGAGACAGTCTAGCTCTGTTGCTCAGGCAGGAGTGAAGTGACATGCTCTCTTGGCTTACTGCAACCTCCACCTCCTGGGTTCAGGTGATTCTTCTGCCTCAGCCTCCTGAGTAGCTGGGATTACAGGCACCAGACACCATTTCCTGTTAATTTTTTTTTTTTTTTGTATTTTTAGTAGAGATGAGGTTTCACCCTGTTCACCAGGCTGGTCTCAAACTCCCAACCTCAGGTGATCCCCCGACTTAGGCCTCCCAAAGTGCTGGGATTACAAGTGTTAGCCACTGCACCTGGCCTTCAAGTCTTACCTACTTATTCATTTATTTTGGGATGGAGTCACGCTGTGTCTCTCAGGCTGGAGTGCAATGGCACAATCTTGGCCCACTGCAACCTCCGCCTTCTGGGTTCAAGTAGTTCTCCTGCCTCAGCCTCCCAAGTAGCTGGGATTACAGGCATGCACCACCATGCCCGGCTAATTTTTGTATTTTTGGTAGAGATGGGGTTTCATCATATTGACCAGGCTGGTCTTGAACTCCTGACCTTGTGATCCACCTGACTCAGACTCCCAAAGTGCTAGGATTACAGGCATCAGCCATCACTCCTGGCCTTAAGTCTTATTTTTTAAGAAATACATTTTGTAATGTTATAGCTACCTTAGATAGTGATTCCTTTGATGGATCTTGTTACAATAAATTGAAAGCCTTCTGGAAAATATTCAACATTCTAGATGCTATTAAGAATATTTTTGATTCATGGGAGGAGGTCGAATTATAAATATTAATTGGAGTTTGGAAGAAGTTGATCCTAATCCTCGTGAATGACTTTGAGGGGTTCACAACTCTAGTGGAGGAAGTAACTGCAGATATGCTGGAAAAAGGCAGAGAACTAAAACTGGAAGTAGAGCCTGAGGGTGACTGAATTGCTGCAATTTCGTAACCAACCTTGAACAGATGAGAAATTGCTTCTTATGGACGAGCAAATAAAGAATTTTCCAAGATGACATCTACTGCTGGTGAGGATGCTGTTAACATCATTAGAATGACAAATAATTTAGAATATTAAATGAAGTTAGTGTATTAGCCCATTTTTATACCGCTATGAAGAAATACCTGAGACTGGGTAATTAATAAAAAAAGGAGGTTCAATGGACTTGTTGCGGAGGCCTCACAATTGTAGTGGAAGTTGAAGGAGAAGCAAAGCCACATCTTATATGACTGCAGGCAAGAGAGTGTGCAGGGGAACTGCCCTTTATAAAACCATCAGATTTCATGAGACTTATTCACTATTACCAGAACAGCAAGGGAAAAACCCACCCCCATGATTCAATTACCTCCCACCATGTCCCTCCCATGACGTGTGGGGATTATGGGTGGCACAATTCAAGATGAGATTTGGGTGGGGACACAACCAAAGCATATTAGTAAGTAATAAAGCAGTGGCAGGGTTTAAGAGGATTGGTGTTACAACTTTTTTTTTTTTTTTTTTGAGACTGTGTCTTGCTCTGTCACCCAGGCTGGGGTGCAGTGGTGCAATCTCAGCTCACTGCAAGCTCCACCTCCCAGGTTCATGCCATTCCCCTGCCTCAGCCTCCCAAGTAGCTGGGACTACAGGCACCCACCACCATGCCCGTCTAGTTTTTTGTGTTTTTAGTAGAGACGGTTTTCATCGTGTTAGCCAGAATGGTCCCAATCTCCTGATCTCATGATGCACTCACTTCAGCCTCCCAAAGTGCTGGGATTACAGGCATGAGCCACCATGCCTGGCTGATTGGTTCCAATTTTGAAAGAAGCTCTACTATGAATAAAATGCTGTCAGACCACATTTTGCATGATACAGATAAATATTTTGTGAAACAAAGAGTCAACCAATGTGGCAAACTTTATTGATTTCTCATTTTAAGTAATTGCCACAGCCTCCCCAACTTTCAGCAACCACCACCTTGTGAGTCATCAGGGATTTTACTGATTGTTTTCTATTTGTTATGTATATCCTTTATTCCTCACTTTCAATCTTATTGCTTATTTTTGTGGTTGGGTGGTTGTGTAGTGATTTGATTTGATTATTTTCTCTTTCTTTGTGTATTGGCTCTACCAGTAAGTTTTGTAATATCACATGTTGTCATGATGGTGGCAATCTTCTTTTCATTTCCATATGTAAGACTTTCTTGGGCATCTTTTTTTTTTTTTTTGGAGTCTTGCTCTGTTGCCAGGCTGGAGTGCAGTGGCACAATCTGGGCTCACTGCAACCTCTGCCTCCCAGGTTCAAGCGATTCTCCTGCCTCAGCCTCCCGAGTAGCTGGGACTACAGGCATGCACCACCATGCCCAGCTAATTTTTGTATATTTAGTAGAGACGGGGTTTCACCATGTTGGCCAGATGGTCTTGATCTCTTGACCTCGTGATCTGCCCGCCTGGACCTCCCAAAGTGCTGGGATTACAGGCGTGAGCCACCGCGCCTGGCAGAGCATTGTTTTTAAAGCTGGTCTAATGCCGATAAATTCCTTTAGTTTTTGCTTGTTTGTGGAAGGTTTTATTTATCCATCATTTCTGAAGACTAGCTTTGCTGTGGATAATATTCTTGGGGTGATAGCTTTTTTTTTTTTCTTTTAGTACTTTGAAGATACCATCCCATATTTCCTGGTCTGTAAGGTTTCTGCTTGAGTAATCCCCTGTTAGTCTAATGGGGGTTTTCTTTCATGTGACTTGAGGCTTTTCTCCTGATGCTGTCAAAATTCTTTCTTTGTTTTTAATTTTTGACAATTAATTTGACACTATAATGTGCCTCAGAAAAGACCTATTTGAATAGAATCTATTCAGGTTTATTTGACCTTCCTGGACCTGCATATTCATCTCACATCCAAGATTTGGGAATTTGTCTGCTATTATCTTATTAGCTATGTTTTCTTCACCTTTTTCCTTCTGTTCATCTTCTGGAATATCCATAATACAAATATTTGTTCACTTTATGGTGTGCCGTAAATCTGGGCACAGAAGTGTTTCACAGGCCTGTGTTAGGGCAGCACAGTTGCTTGGCTGGACTGGGGGGCATACCCCACAGAGGCAGACTATAAGACAGTTTTCCAGGGCCTTATTGGGGGTGCAGGGCCTTTGGCCAAGCAAGGGCATGTATGTGGGGGGCAGGAGTGCTGCATGGCTGTTTCTCAGGTCCTGAGCAGGGGTGCTGGTAGCTATTCCACTGGCCCAGGGATATATTAACTGTTTGGGGGTTTCAGGGGCCTCTCCAGCTTGGGGAATGGCATGTGAACAGTTTGGCTGGCTCAAGAGTGGATTTGCCCTGGCTGGGACTAGCACATTTTTCTCTAGCTGGAAGTACAGTGATGGGGGTTGGTTTTCTTGCTGTATAGGACTAGAGTCACAGAGTCAATCCTGGACCCAAACTCCGTGTGGGTTTGACATAATGAAGATGGAACTTCAGAGCTGGAGAGGTGCAGTGACTACTGCACCTCAGAGAAGGCTTCTTTCCAGAGCAGGCTTTGATCTCAAAATGGTGTTGTGTTGCAGCAGGTTGGCTCACAGGGCATGGGTTGGGAGTATGGTGTGGTGCATATCTTCTTCTCCTAATCTGGGACAATACAGCTGTGTGAATTCTCAGTAGATGTCCAAACTGGGTTTGGGGTTGGCTCACAAGGCATGGGTTGGAGTTATGGTGTGGTGCACATCTCGTTCTCCTAATCTGGGGCAATACAGCTGTGTGAATTTCCAATAGATCTCCAAAGTGGATTTGGGGCTTGGGAAGACTAAAACTTCCCTGTAGTAAGGCCCGTAGGTGTTTACAGTGGCAACGGGGGCTGTTGGAGATCTTCTGATTACCTCCAAAATTTCCAACTTGGTTGGGCATGGTATATAATGCCCAGCACTTGGTATATACCCAGCACTTTGGGAAGCTGAGGTAGGAGAATTGCTTGAGCCCAGGAGTTCCAGACCAGCCTGAGGAACATAAGGAGACTCTATCTCTACATAAAATGTTAAAAAAAAAAAAAAAAAAGCCAGGCATTGTGGTTCATGTCTCTAGTCCCTGCTACTGGGGAGACCGAAGTGGGAAGATTACTTGAGCCCCAGAATTTGAGGTTGCTGTGAACCATGATCACACCACTGCACTCCAGCCTAGGCAAAAGAGAAAGACCATGTCTTCAAAAACAAATGAACACAAAAGTCCCTCCTGTCTCTGGGATGATCCATCCAATCCCTGTGGAAGAGAAAGGGCTGCAGAGGTTTGGTGCCTCAGTGCTGTCTTCCTGGCTTCTAATCACTACAGGTACATCTTTATACCCCTGCTGTATTTCAGCACTCTCTCTTTGACACACCAGTCAAATCTTAGTTGTTTACTATTTGCCTTGGTTCTTTCTTGTGGGAGTGATGAGTACCAGGAGTCTCTAGTCAGCCATCTTGCTGACTTGCATTATTCAGTAACATAGTTTTTCATCAAGGTATGTACATTGTCTCTTTAAAGAGGTAATGCTACTTCATATTTAATAGACAGAAGTATAGTGTAAAAATAACTTTTTTACTCACTGGGAAACCAAAACAATGTGTGTGACTCACTTTATGGTGATATTGACTTTATTACCGTGATCTGGAACTGAATCTGTAATAGCTCTAAAGTATGCCTGTATATACTGATTTTCCTATACATGCCTACCTACTATAAAGTAAAAGTTACTAATTAGGCACTGTAAGAGATTAACGAAAATAAGTAGTAATAAAATAAACTAATTGTAACAATATTCCATCATTACTATTCTTGTACTTTAGGGCCATTATTAAGTAAAATAAGGGTTTCTTGAACATAAGCACCATGATACTGGAACAGTGAATCTGATAACCAAGATGGCTACCAAGTGACTAATGGCACAGATTTCATCGCACTACTCAGAATTGCCACAATCTATCACTTATGATTATTTTCTGAAAGTTTTTGTTTAATATTTTCAGATTGTGGTTGACTGTGGTTAGCTGAAACTGTAGAAATTAAAACCATGGATAAGGGAGGGAGTGCTGTATTGTATATACATATACATAAATATACAGATACAGGTATATCTATATTATCATTTCATCTGAGAAAGAAATAAGTATTCTGGAATTATAAAACCTCTTGACTTATGAAGCTGTATAGTTTTAAATATTTTATGTTTCCTCTGCATGTTAATGGCTTTTTACTTATGCTTTTATATTTCTCTTGCCACTTTGGATAATAATCTTTTCAATACGTTTAAAATTTATACTTTTTTTACTTCTAACACAACACTTTATAACTTTCTTAACTTTCTTTTTAAATTTAGGGGTACATGTGCAGGTTTGTTATATAGGTAAACTTGTGTCTTGCAGGTTGGTTGTACGGATTATTTCATTACCCAGGTATTAAGCCTAGTTTTCATTTGTTTTTCCTTGATCCTCTCCCTCCTTAACCCCCCATGCTCTGATGAGCCCAGTGACTGTTGTTCCCCTCTATGTGTCCATGTGTCATCATCATTTTTCTCCCACTTACAAGTGAGAACATGTGGTATATGGTTTTCTGTTCCTGTGTTAGTTTGCTAGGGATAATGGCCTCCAATTCCATCTATGTTCTTGCAAAGGACATAATCTCTCTCTTTTTTTTAATAGTTGCATAGTGTTCCGTGGTGTATACATACCACATTTTCTTCATCTAGTCTACCACTGGTGGACATTTAGATTGATTCTATGTCTTTGCTATTGTGAATAATCACTTTATAATTTGAAAAGAGTGTCAGTATAATGAGTTTGGATAATTTTAAATCCATTTGCTATATTCTAACAGAAATATATTGTACTTTTACATTATTATAGTTTATCCTTTTTACTGGCTGACTGCAATACAAAATAGCTTACACATCTCATGCTCATGGATGGGTATGATCAATACTGTGAAAATGACCATACTGCCCAAAGCAATCTACAGATTCCATGCAATTCCCAATAAACTACCATCATCATTCTTCACAGAACTAGAAAAAAAAAATCCTAAAATTCATATGGGAACAAAAAAGAGCCCACATAGCCAAAACAATACTGAACAAAAAGAACAAATCTGGAGGCATCACATTACCTGACTTCAAACTATCTTATAAGGCTATTGTTGCCAAAACAGCATGGAGCATGGTACTTGTATAAAAATAGGCATGTAGACCAATGGAATAAAATAGAGAACCCATGAATAAAGCCAAATACTAACAGCCAACTTATCCTGAACAAAGCAAACAAAAACATAAAATGGGGAAAGGATATCCTTTTCAATAAATGGTGCTGGGAAACCTGGCAAGCCAATGTAGAAGAATGAAACTGTATCCTCATCTCTCACCTTATAAAAAAATCAATTCAAGACTGTTAAAAGACTTAAATCTAAAACCTAAAACTATAAAAATTCTAGAACACCATAAAAACTCTTTTAGACATTGGCTTAGGAAAATAATTCACAGCTAAGACTCAAAAAACAAATGTAACAAAAACAAAAATAAATAAATGGAACTTACTTAAAGTAAAATCTTCTGCACAGCAAAAGAAATGTTCAGTGGAGTAAACAGACAACCTACAGACTGGGAGAAAATATTCACAAACTATGCATCTGGCAAAGGACTAATATTCAGCACCTAAAGGGAATTCAAACAAATCATTAAGAGAAAAACAAATAATCCCATCAAAAATAGGCAAAGAACAAAAATAGACAATTCTAAAATGAAGATATACAAACAGCCAACAAACACATGAATAAATGCTCAACATTGCTAATTATCTGGGAAATACAAATTAAAACTACAATGAGATACCACTTTACTCCTGCAAAAATGGGCATAATTAAAAAGTCAAAAACAATAGATGTTGGTATGCTTGTGGTGAAAAGGGAACACTTTTACACTGCTGGTGGGAATGTAAACTAGTACAACCACTATGGAAAACAGTATGGAGATTTCTTAAAGAACAAAATATAGAACTACCATTTGATCCAGCAGTTCCACTACTGGGTATCTACCCAAAGGAAAATAAGTCATATGAAAAAGACACATTCACATGTATAGCAGCACACATTCACACGTATAGCAGCACAAATTGCAATCGCAAAGATATTGAACCAATCTATGTGCTCATCAACCAACGAGTAGAAAAAGCAAATGTGGTATATACACACCATGGAATACTACTCAGCCTTAAAAAGGAATGAAATGATGTCTTTTGCAGCAACCTGGATGGAGCTGGAGATGTTATTCTAGGTGAAGTAACTCAAGAATGGAAAACCAAATATTGTATGTTCTCACTTATAAGTGGGAGCTAAGCTAAGAGGATGAAAAGGCTTAAAAACGATATAATGGACTTTGAGGACTCAAGGTGGAGGGTGAGAGAGGGGTGATGAACAGAAGACTATATATTGGGTACAGTGTACACTGCTTGGATGACTGGTGCACCAAAATCTCAGGAATCACCGCTAAAGAATTTACCCATGTAACCAAAAACCACCTGTATTCCATAAACTGTTGAAATAAAAATAAAATTTATGAAAATGGAAAGCCTTCAAAACCAAAAAATAAAATAAAAATAAGACAAAATTGCATATATTTTCAGGATGAGGAAACTGAACCTCAGAGAAATTAAGTTCTAACCCATGGTCACCACTATGATTGAAGCTTAAACTTTAGGATTTAAGAGCTCTTACCTAGTCTTGAATCATAGTTTTTTCTAAAGCATCATTTTCTGTGTTTTTGTTTTTTCAAAAATTTTATGATAAGAAATTTAACATGAGAACTACCTTCTCAACAAAATTTATGTGTGTGATGCAGTATTAACTATAGGCACAATGTTGTACAATAGATCTCTAGAATTCTTATGTCATACATGATGGCAATTTAGTATCCATTGAATATAAACTCCCATTACCCCTCTCCTCAGCCCCTGGCAGCCCACCATTCTACTCTCTAATCATTGAGAGTATTATAGATATCGCACGTAAGTGGAATCACACAGTGTTTGTCAGTAAAGTCCTCCTGGTTCTACCATGATAACACATATGACAGGGTCTACTCTTTTTAAAGCTGTGTATATACCTCTTATTCGTTTGCCATTAATCTATTAATGCACATTTAGGTTGCTTCCACATTTTGGCCATTGTGAATAATACTGCATTAAACATGGACTACATATATCTTCAAAATCCTGATTTCAAGTATTTTGGATAAATACCCAGATATCGAATTGTAACTGCCAAATGGATTTTTTGCTGACTGCTCCACAGACAAAATCAATTTACTGAGACCACGGCATTGCAGTAAAGAAAAGAATGGAAAAATAAATATCATGTCATCTCATTCATAAGCTGGAGCTAAGCTATGAGGATGAAAATGCATGAGAATAAGCAAAAGAGATGAGGCTTGCCACACCATATGGGAGAGGGAGTTATTACTCAATTCAATCTCCTTGAAGGCTTGAAAGTTAGGTGCTTTTCAAAGATAGTTTGATGGGCAGAGGGCTAGGGTATGGGTGTTGCTGATCAGTTTAGGATGAATCATAGGGATGTGGAAAATGATCCTCATGTGTTGAGTGTGTTTCTGGGTGGGGGCCACATGACTGTTTGAGTCAGAGGTCCAGGTGGGGCCATCCAGCTATCAGATATACAAATATTTGAAAAGAATCTCAAAATGCCAATCTTAGGTTCTACAATAGCTATGTTATCTGCAGGAATAATTGGGGAAGCTGCAAATCTTGTGACTTCCAGGAAAAAATGGCTGGTAATCATTTTACTAGGCCTATATCTTAGCAGAACACAGACTCCTCTCATCCTCTTAACTTGGTGCCTTTGATTAGTTTTACAAAGGTGGTTTAGTTTTTGCAAAGGACTATTATCATTTAAACTATAAACTAAATTTCTCCCGAAGTTATTTGGTCCATGCCCAGAGATGAGCAAAGACAGACAGCCTGTGATGATAGAAGCAAGAAGAAGTCAGTCATGGCAGATTTCTCTTACTGTCATAATTTTGCGAAGGTGGTTTCAGAATTTCAGGATTGTATAGTAATCCTGTTTTTAATGTTTCAAGGAACTTCCATACTATTTTCAATCATGGCTGCACTGTTTTATATTCTTGTCAACAGTACACCAGGGTTCCAATTTCTCCACATTCTTATCAATACTTTTTTTTTTTAAATAATGGCCATAACAGGTGTGTGATGATATCTCATTGTGGTTTTGATCTGCAATAATTAAAATCTCCATATTACCCAAAGGGGTCTTCAGATTTAATGCATTTCCTGCAAAATCCTAGTGCTGGGTTTTACAGAAATAGAAAAAACATCGTAAAAATTATGTGCAATTACAAAAGACTTCAAATAGCCAAAGGAATCTTGAGAAAGAAAAACAAAGCTAGAGGTATTATACTTTTTTATTTCAATGATATTACAAAACTACAGTAATTAAATAGCATGGGACTGGAATAAGGACAGATATATAGACCAACGGAACAGAATAGGGAGCCTGGAAACAATCCCACATGTATATAGTCAAATGATCTTTCACAAGTGTGCCAAGAATACACAATGGGAAATTAAATTGGACCCTTGTCTTATACCATATAAAATAACCAACCCAAAATGGATTAAAAATTTAAACATAAAACCTGAAACTACAATTTCTAGAAGAAAACATAAGGAAAAACTTTAGGACCTTCAGCTTGGCAGTAACTTGTTGGATGTAACATAAAAATACAAGCAATGACATAAAAAGCCAAGTAACAAAACCAAAATTAGACAAGTAGGGCTACGTCAAAGTCAAAATCTTCTGCACAATGAAGAAAACCATCAGCCAAACAAAAAATATTTGTAAATGATATATCTAATAGGGGATTAATATCAAAATATATAAATTCAATAGCCACAATAACAATAATCTTATTTTAAAACTGGCAAAGGACTTGAATACATTTTTTTTCCAAAGAAGACATACAAATGGCCTTCAGATGTATGAAAAGATGTTCAACATCAGTAGTCATCAGGGAAATTCAAATCTGACACATTTTAAACAGAAGCCAAAGAACTCTATTGATTCAATAAGTAGGAGCATGCAGTGCCTTATTCCGGAATCATTTACTTTTTATTATTAAGTAAATCATCATGGTGCTATTTTGAAACAGAAGATAATTGGGGCATATTCCCCTTGGGACATCTCCTTGGATTTCATCAACAGTCAATTACAAAGATATAAACAATCTAAGTTAGCCATATTCATAGAATACCTAAATCTGCATTTGCTGTTCCACAGGTAAGAGAAAATTTCAGATAATTTGAAGAATATTTCGGCAGCTAGAACCTACAATATCAAGAATAACTATGTTTTTTTTTACTAAACTTTTTAGCTGCTAAACACCAAGAACTAAACACTTCAGTTCTGGACTATTACATATGTGAATCAAGTGTATTCATCAAAATATGATTTATTTAGAGTTATGCCTAAGAATTAAAATCCAACACTTACTAGAAAACAATAAAAAATAGAAAATATTGTATTTGTACTTATAGAGATAAATAAGAGTGCTCCTAATAGAGTATATGCTTGTATTTTTCTTATAGATAAAGATAGTTCAAAGGTCATGAATTTACCAATAAATATCAACAAAGGGCAAAAAAACATTTGACTTATTCATTTATCTGGGGTCTTGTATTTTGAAGTAATAAGGAAAACAATCAATACTTATTTTAAATTTATTTTCTGGCTTTATAATCTAGAAGTCACTTCAGATTGCTACTTATTTTATGTTTCTCTAGATTTAATGGCTTAAAAAATACAAATACATCGAGAATCATGTTTTGCTTTACCTTTATTTCCCTGAGGTCAGCAGAGGGGTAAGAGGAAGAGTGTTCCAGTTGCAGAATGAAGCCATTTATGAGGCCATGAAAAAATGCAAAAATTTCATGTACAATGAGAGAAACCTGGGATTGAATCTTGGCTCTGGAAATTGTTAGCTATGAAAGTTGCTATAAAGGTGAAATAAGGTAATGTACAAGAAATGTCTGTTCTTGCAGCAAGTGCTAAATAAATGCCTGTTATTTAGCAAACTTAGTGTTTCGTTATTACATTCACGATATTTAAAGTTTTCTCCCTTCCATTAAAATTTGTTTCATAAAAATAGATTTGCATTAATTTAAAAAGTTGATTCTATATTATTAAATCTTCAAGAATCATAGTGATTTTCTCTTTATAACTCTGAATCTTTGACTATGTGCTAATATTAACTTAATTTTTACCCAATATAACTTATTTTGGCATCTAGTAGAAATGCCTGTCTCACAAGAAATTTGGTTGAAGTATCTTATTTGCACAAAGCAAAATTAAGACAATTGTAATGTAGAAAATGGAATCATGGTAATTTGCATGTTTATTTTTGGCATAAAATGATCAAGTAATTCACAAAACTTCTTCATTCTCCAAAGAATAATTCAGAGACATTTGAATGAGCAGATGAAAAAAATCATAACTGTTCATTGGATTTAATCTTGATAGAATGTAGAACCAACTTAATTCAGCATATTCTATAATCAAAATTATTTTACATATTATATTTTATTAATGCAATTTTCCTTCAATATTTACTCCAATCTTGTGAACAAACTATTAATGTTCTCATTCTATAGACAAGTAGATATAGCAAATCATTTTGCACAATTGCTACAAGTTCTAAAATTCTGGTATTGTATTCCAATGCTCTGTCCCCTGATACAGTCTCTTGTGTATTTGGATGCCCAAAGATTGTTTAAGCCACTCATTTTTGTGTGTTTTAATATTATTTAATATATAAACAGCTTAATACAATTCAGTGGTAAATTAACCAGTAGACCTGATGATTTTAGAAACAGAATAAGTCCAGCCAACTAATGAACGTCCATTTCTTCCATTTGATTCTGCAGTGAGTGGCATGAACACATGGCTGACCAGTTTGTCACTGTCTTCTGATTCACTACTAGAGAATTATGCACTGCTGAATATATGTCGTACAGTATATACAAGAGCACAGTTAACATCCCCTTGAGTCATGGTGTTGTTCATTCTTTTTGTCATAATATGAACTGTAACTTTATGCATATCTTCAAGTTTGTTCTAGATTTCAACATGAAGAATGTCACTGAAGTTACCTTATTTGTACTGAAGGGCTTCACAGACAATCTTGAACTGCAGACTATCTTCTTCTTCCTGTTTCTAGCAATCTACCTCTTCACTCTCATGGGAAATTTAGGACTGATTTTAGTGGTCATTAGGGATTCCCAGCTCCACAAACCCATGTACTATTTTCTGAGTATGTTGTCTTCTGTGGATGCCTGCTATTCCTCAGTTATTACCCCAAATATGTTAGTAGATTTTACGACAAAGAATAAAGTCATTTCATTCCTTGGATGTGTAGCACAGGTGTTTCTTGCTTGTAGTTTTGGAACCACAGAATGCTTTCTCTTGGCTGCAATGGCTTATGATCGCTATGTAGCCATCTACAACCCTCTCCTGTATTCAGTGAGCATGTCACCCAGAGTCTACATGCCACTCATCAATGCTTCCTATGTTGCTGGCATTTTACATGCTACTATACATACAGTGGCTACATTTAGCCTATCCTTCTGTGGAGCCAATGAAATTAGGCGTGTCTTTTGTGATATCCCTCCTCTCCTTGCTATTTCTTATTCTGACACTCACACAAACCAGCTTCTACTCTTCTACTTTGTGGGCTCTATCGAGCTGGTCACTATCCTGATTGTTCTGATCTCCTATGGTTTGATTCTGTTGGCCATTCTGAAGATGTATTCTGCTGAAGGGAGGAGAAAAGTCTTCTCCACATGTGGAGCTCACCTAACTGGAGTGTCAATTTATTATGGGACAATCCTCTTCATGTATGTGAGACCAAGTTCCAGCTATGCTTCGGACCATGACATGATAGTGTCAATATTTTACACCATTGTGATTCCCTTGCTGAATCCCGTCATCTACAGTTTGAGGAACAAAGATGTAAAAGACTCAATGAAAAAAATGTTTGGGAAAAATCAGGTTATCAATAAAGTATATTTTCATACTAAAAAATAAATTATAAAAGGTGAGGGTGATACTCTGCACCTCAATACCAAGAATGTGTCATTGTGGTGTTATGATATATGTTGGTTTCCATCCAGGGTTCCTGGCTCATAATTCCCATAGCCTTTGTTACAGTCTTTTGTTATAATGTTGGGTGTTATACCTCAGGGGCAGGCCTTTTACCTTCTCCTGCCCTCCTTTCACTTGCACCAAGGCTGGGTTCCAATGTCTGCCTTACTGATTGTGAATCTTAAGACTCTCCCATGAGAGAGTCCCACCCTATACCTTCGGGGAGGGAATGCTGATGCCTTGAAGCTTCCATAGAACCTAGGAGGATAGGGTTCAGTGAGCTTCTGGGGAGCAGAACAAATGGAAGTTCCTAGAGGGTGGCATGGTCAGGGAGGGCATGGAAACTCTGCACCCCTTTCCTTATACTTTGCCCTACACATCCCTTCACCAGTGTCCTTTGCAATATCCTTTTCAATAAGCCAGTAATATGTTTCCCTGAGTTTTGTGAGCTGCTTCAGTAATTTAATGAAACCCAAAGAGGGGGTCATGGGAGATCCAACTTGAAGCAGGTTGGTCAAAGTTTCAGAGACCCGAATTTGTGACTGGTGTTGTCAGGGGGCAGTTTTGGGGACTGAACCCTCAACCTATGGGATCTGACACTATCTCTGGGTAGATAGTGTTGCAACTGAATTAGAGGATACCCAGTTGGTGATTACCACGTGGTGTGGGAGGAAGAAATCCCTACCCATTTGATCACAGAAGTCTTCTGTGTTGATGATTGTTGTGGTATGACAGTAGAGGAAAAACCTGGTTAGCAAGAGTTTTCCCTAGACGATAATAAAAATGTTTAATTTATTAGTGTAATCCTGTTTTTTTTCTTGGACGTTTTAAAATAAAGATCATAAGTGACCCTGTACCTATGCTGTTCTTACATGTAGAAAAATCTGTGTCATCTATTTTCTTTATGTATGTATACATATACATATGTTCACGTATACATGTACATACATGCTGATAGTCATTGATATACACAAAAATGCACATTCACAGGCATTTATGTTTGTAACCTTTACTTAAAAATGTGTATTGTTTTCTTTCATCTCCATATAATGAATATTTTGAATATTTTGCTAAAATATGATTAATACATCTAAATCACACTTCAAAAGTATAAATATAGAGCATATCCTCCCACAGAATATTTCTACATAATACATCTGCATTTATTTTCTCCTGTTTGGAGGCTCTGTCCTCTGATATTATGTGATTCCTTACTTCAAAAGTCAAAATTAAGTTATGGTCATTGATATTCATCATATGTGTGTGCAAAATCATGCAAATGAGGACAGCCCCTGTGTGCATATGTGTGGCGTGTGTGTGCTTGTGTGTATGTTTTAGAATAGAAGAGATCTTTAAACACCACTTAAAATCAGAAAGATTGTTTTCATTCTTTAAAAATTGTAAAGTCTGCATGACAAAAAGTACCAAAAATATAATAAAAAACCAAACTACAGACTTGGGAAAATAGATACAATCATTCATTTGTTGAGTTAATTCATAATAAAATTTATAGCACAATGCATAAAATATACATGGATAAAATTCATAAAAGGTGAAACCTCTTATGGACAATGGATATACTTTAATAATAATCTAGAAAATGTAAATGTGAAATGATAGAAAACACTCAAACACTTTTGGGTAATTTGCTAGCAAATACAAACTAAGGTGAGTACACTAAATTTGAAACTTTATAAACTAAAAGCTTTCATAAAATAAACAATTTCTTTTCATGTATCAGACACAATTTGTTATCAAGAATACACATCAGTTACATGGGCAAAATAAAAGTTGGGACTTAATTTAAAAAGGCACACAACATGTAAAATTATATCTAAACTCATTTAAAAATAATATATTAAGGTAAAATTCCCATGTGATAAAATTAACTATTTATGGGAATAATTAATTCAGTGGCAATTACTACATTCACAATATTGTGCAATCACCACCTCTGTCTAGCTCCAGAACACGTCCATCAGTAAGAAGTACACAATAAGTAGTTTCTCCCCAGTTCTCACTTACTCCAGCCCCCCAAAATCTGTGCTCCATGTCTGTATTTTCCTATTCTGGATATTTCTTATAAAGGAACCATAGAAAAGTGACCTTTGCTTCCTGTTCTGCTTTCACTTAGCATAATGTTTTCAAACATTATTTGAAAACATTCCATGTCTGTTGTAGCATGGGTTGTTTTATCATTTATTTTATTTTATTTTATTTATTTATTTATTTATTTATTTATTTATTTATTTATTTATTTTTTGAGACGGAGTCTTGCTCTGTCGCCCAGGCTGGAGTGCAGTGGCACGATCTCGGCTCACTGCAAGCTCCGTCTCCCGAGTTCACGCCATTCTCCTGCCTCAGCCTCCCGAGTAGCTGGGAGTACAGGCGCCCACCACCACCATGCCCGGCTAATTTTTTGTATTTTTAGTAGAGACGGGGTTTCACCGTGTTAGCCAGGATAGTCTCGATCTCCTGACCTTGTGATCTGCCCGCCTCGGCTCCCCAAAGTGCTGGGATTACAGGCTTGAGCCACCGCGCCCGGCCTCTTTTATTTTTTAAATTGTGTTTTATTGTGCTTTACATGAAATATACCCTCTAACATTTGTAAGTTTACATTACTTTTAATTATAGGCACAATGTTGGAAGTAGATCCTTAGAACTTATTTATCTTGCATATTGAGACTTTATACCTGTTGATTAAAAACTCCCCATTTCTCCCAGCTCCTAGTCCGTTGAAACTGCCATTCTACTTTCTGGTTCTATAAGTTTGAGTATTTTATAGATTCTTCCTATAAATGGAATCATGCAGTATTTATTATTTTGTTACTGGTTTGTTTCATTTAGTATAATGTCCTCCAGGTTAATCCATGTTCTCCTATATTGCAAGATGCCCATATTTTAAGGCTGAATAATATGCCATTGCATGTATATGCCACATTTCCTTTACCCATTCATCCATCAATGGACTCTGAGATTGTTTCCACCTCTTGGCTATTTTGAATAATGCTGCATGAACATGGGTGTTCTAATATCTTTTTGATATTGTAATATAAACTCTTTTGGATAAATACCCCAAATTTGGAGAGATTATTGGATGATATGGTAGTTCTATATTTTTTTAGCAGTTTCCATAGTGTCTGCACCATTTTGCTTTTCATTGAAAAATTTCAAGGGTCCTAACTTCTTCATATTTTTTTCAATAATTGCTGTCTTTTATTTTCTTTTTAATAATTATCATCCTCACACATCCTCACAGGTATAAGGTGATATTTCATTGTGGTGTTGATTTGCATTTTCCTCCTGAGTGGTGATCTTGAGTATCTTTTCATATATCTGTTGGTCATTTGTATCTCTTCTTTGAAGAAATGTCAATTCATGTCTTTAGCCTGTTTTCAATTGGGTCATTAGGATTTTTTGTTTGTTTGTTTGTCGATATAGAGTTGTAGGAGTTTTTAATATATTTTAGAAGTTAAACCCTTATCAGATATATGGTTTGCAAATATTTTCTCCCATTTTGTATACTGTATATACACTGTGTTGATTGTTTCCTTAACTATGCAGAAGTTTTTTAGTTTGATAAATTCCAACTTGTCAATTTTGTTTTTATTTTGCTGTCTGTACTTTTGGTATCATCTTCAAGCAATCATTCCCAAGACTAATGTAATAAAAATTTTCTCTATCTTTTCTCCTAGGAGTTTTGAATTTTCAGGTCTTATGTTTAATCCATTTTGAGTTGACTTTTGAGTATAATTAGATAAGGGCCCAATTTTATTCTTTTGCGTGTGGATATCCAGTTTTCCCAGAACCGTTTGTTGAAGAGACTCTCCTTTACTCTGTGTTAGGAGCCCTGTCGAAGATGTGGACCATATATATGTGGATTTGTTCTTTTGATCTCTCTCTATCTTCCAGTGGTCTATATGTCAGTCTGTATGTAAGTACCATACAGTTTTGTTTTGTTATTTTTTTGAGGCAGAGTCTCAATGTGTCACCCAGGCTGGAGTGCACTGGTGCAGTGGCCTGATTGTGGTTCACTGCAGACAACGTTCTGGATTTAAGAGATCCTCCTGCCTCAGCCTCCCAAAAAGCTGGGACTAGAGGTGCATATCACCATGCCCAGGTAATTTTTATGTTATTTTATTTTTTGTAGAGATGAGATCTAATTATGTTGCCAAGACTGGTTTTGAACTTCTGGCCTCAAGCAATCCACTTTCCTCAGCCTTCCAAATTGCTGGCACTATAGGCGTGAAACACTATGTTTTGTCCTGTGCAGTTTTAATTACTGCAGATTTGTAATATATTTTGAAATTAGAAAATATGGAACCTCCAGTTTTGTTCTTCGTCTTCTAGATTATTTTGACTACTCAGGGTGTTTTGTGGTTCCATATAAAATTTAGGGCTTTCTTTTTTTCTGTTACTGTAAACCAGGTCTTTGGGGTTTTGGAGATTTCATTGAACCTGCAAAGCGCTTTGGATAGAATAGGCATTTTAACAATATTAAGTTCTCCAATTCATGAACCTAGGATGACTTTCCATTTGTTATATTCTTGAATTTATTTCACAAATGTTTTGTAGTTTTCAGTCTACACACCTTCCTCCTCCTTAGTTAAGTTTATTCTATTTTATTCAAAAGCTATATTTATTTTACAGAGAGGGATAATATCCTACTGTATGCATATATCGCAATTTGTGTATCCATTTATCTGTTGATGGAAATTTTGACTTTGTTTTTCTTAACCTCTTGGCTAATGTGAGTAGAGCTGCCTCTACATGACTTTGTTTGATTACCTGGGTATATATCTTGTAGTGGAATTGTAGTCATATGGTAATTCTATGTTTAACTTTTTGAGGAACTGCCAAACTGCTTTGTATAGTAGCTTAGTACCTGAATGATTTTACATTTACATTCCCAACAGCAAAGCACGAGGGTATAAGTTTATCCACATCCTCACCAACGTTTGCTATTTTCTGTCTTCCATTCTGATTGATATGAAGTGGTATTTCATTGTGATTCTCATTTACAATTCTCTAATAACTAATGTTGAGTAACTTTCATGTTTTTATTGGGCATTTGTTTATCTCTCTGGAGAAAATTTTATTCAAGTATTTTTGTCATTTTTAAGTAGACTTCTGAGGTTATTTGACTCCTTATTGTTGAGTTGTGGGAGTTTTTTTTATGTATTCTAGTTATCTAATACCTATCAAATGTATTATTTGAAAATTTTCCCTTCCACTTTTTAGGTTGTCTTTTCACTGTCTTTATAATGTCCTTTGATGAGGAAATATTTTTAATTTTGATGAAGCTTGATTTATAAATTTTCTGCTGTTGTTGCTTGTAGCTGGGGTAGCATGTTTAGGAATCTATTGCCAAACACAAAGAAGGTCGTGAAGATTTACACCTATGTTGTCTTCTAAGAGTTTTATCATTTTACTTTTATATTTAGGGTGTTGATTTGAAGTTAATTTTTGTGTATAATTAGATGTAGTGGTTCTTCTTTATTAATTTTTGTGTGGCTATTCAGTTGTCTGGTAGACTAAATGTATTTTTAATTATTGTTCAAAGTAAAATTTTAATGATATTTTATTGCTTCCTTTATTTACCAAAATAGGAGCTTCCTGGAATTATTAAAACTGCTAGAGGTGTGAGTGGAAAAATATCCCCAACTTTTTCCTGGCTGTATGAACATTAAATATTTGCAAATGTAAGTACTAACATATATTATAAATAGAAATACCAAAAAATTTTTGTTGCATCTAACAGATTTGAAAATATTGACACTATGTGGCCTAACAATTTCCAAGCGTCATCCAAGTGTACAGACTTGATAGAATATTGTATGAGAGAAAAATGAGGACTAAAAAGATGTGAGTTACATTGTTTCATGTAATATAGAAGACTCAACACAACCAATTTTTTAATCTAGTTTAAATGCATAAACAAATCTATAACAATCAAGATATGTAAATAACAAAATCATATTCTTTGAAGAAAAAATAAGTCAATCAAAAATGATGTAGACATCATAAATTCCCTCACATAAATTTAAAACTACATAAGTAGAAATGATACATAACGTTTATTTACCAAAAATATAATAGTAAATTGATTTATTTTAAAAACTAGACAGAATTTATTAACCTTGAAGACATTGTGTTAAGTAAAATAAGTCCATCACAAAAGGACCAGTACTCTGTGATGTCACTTATATAAGGTATGCAAAATAATCAAATGCATAAACACAGAGGAGAATGGGGGTTTCCAGGTGCTGGGGCTAGGAAGCAGGAATAAATGGAGAGTTACTATAAAACAGGTATAGCATTTCAGTCACGCCAGTGGATTAAGTTCTAGAGAGGTTCTGTATTTATCTATTTTTTGTTGTTGTTGCCCGTATAGGTAAGATTACTGCCATATACACTTACCATTTTTTTATTATTATACTTTAAGTTTTAGGGTACATGTGCACAATGTACAGGTTAGTTACATATGTATACATGAGCCATGTTGGTGTGCTGCACCCATTAACTCGTCATTTAACATTAGGTATATCTCCTAATGCTATCCCTCCCCACTCCCCCCACCCCACAACAGGCCCCGGTGTGTGATGTTCCCCTTCCTGTGTCCATGTGTTCTCATTGTTCAATTCCCACCAATGAGTGAGAACATGCAGTGTTTTGTTTTTTGTCCTTGCGATAGTTTGCTGAGAATGATGGTTTCCAGCTTCATCCATGACCCTACAAAGGACATGAATTCATCATTTTTTATGGCTGCATAGTATTCCATGGTGTATATGTGCCACATTTTCTTAATCTAGTCTATCATTGTTGGACATTTGAGTTGGTCCAAGTCTTTGCTATTGTGAATAGTGCCGCAATAAACATACGTGTGCATGTGTCTTTATAGCAACATGATTTATAATCCTTTGGGTATATACCCAGTAATGGGATGGCTGAGTCAAATGGTATTTCTAGTTCTAGATCCCTGAGGAATTGCCACACTGACTTCCACAATGGTTGAACTAGTTTACAGTCCCACCAACAGTGTAAAAGTGTTCCTATTTCTGCACATCCTCTCCAGCACCTGTTGTTTCCTGACTTTTTAATGATCGCCATTCTAACTGGTGTGAGATGGTATCTCATTGTGGTTTTGATTTGCATTTCTCTGATAGCCAGTGATGATGAGCCTTTCTTCATGTGTCTTTTGGCTGCATAAATGCCTTCTTTTGAGAAGTGTCTGTTCAAGTCCTTTGCCCACTTTTTGATGGGGTTGTTTGTTTTTTTCTTGTAAATTTGTTTGAGTTCATTGTAGATTCTGGATATTAGCCCTTTGTCAGATGAGTAGATTGCAAAAATGTTCTCCCATTCTGTAGGTTGCCTGTTCACTCTGATGGTAGTTTCTGTTACTGTGCAGAAGCTCTTTAGTTTAAATAGATCCTATTTGTCAATTTTGCTTTTGTTGCCATTGCTTTTGGTGTTTTAGACATGAAGTTCTTGCCCATGCCTATGTCCTGAATGGTATTGCCTAGGTTTTCTTCTAGGGTTTTTATGGTTTTAGGTCTAACTTTTAAGTCTTTAATCCATCTTGAATAAATTTTTGTATAAGGTGTAAGGAAGGGATCCAGTTTCAGCTTTCTACATATGGCTAGCCAGTTTTCCCAGCACCATTTATTAAATAGGGAATCCTTTCCCCATTACTTGTTTTTGTCAGGTTTGTCAAAGATCAGATGGTTGTAGATATGCGGCATTATTTCTGAGGGCTCTGCTCTGTTCCATTGGTCTATATCTCTGTTGTGTTACCAGTACCATGCTGTTTTGGTAGCAGTACCATGCTGTTTTGGTTACTGTAGCCTTGTAGTATAGTTTGAAGTCAGGTAGCATGATGCCTCCAGCTTTGTTCTTTTGGCTTAGGATTGACTTGGCAATGTGGGCTCTTTTTTGGTTGCATATGAACTTTAAAGTAGTTTTTTCCAATTCTTTAAAGAAAGCCATTGGTAGCTTGATGGGGATGGCATTGAATCTATAAATTACCTTGGGCAGTATGGCCATTTTCATGATATTGATTCTTCTTACCCATGAGCATGGAATGTTCTTCCATTTGTTTGTATCCTCTTTTATTTCATTGAGCAGTTGTTTCTAGTTCTCCTTGAAGAGGTCCTTCACGTTCCTTGTAAGTTGGATTCCTAGGTATTTTATTCTCTTTGAAGCAATTGTGAATGGAAGTTCACTCATGATTTGGCTCTCTGTTTTTGATATACAAGAATGCTTGTGATATTTGCACATTGATTTTGTATCCTGAGACTTTGCTGAAGTTGCCTATCAGCTTAAGGAGATTTTGGGCTGAGACGATGGGGTTTTCTAGATCTACAATCATGTCATCTGCAAACAAGGATAATTTGACTTTCTCTTTTCCTAATTGAATACCCTTTATTTCCTTCTCCTGCCTAATTGCCCTGGCCAGAACTTCCAACACTATGTTGAATAGGAGTGGTGAGAGAGGACATCCTTGTCTTGTCCCTGTTTTCAAAGGGAATGCATCCAGTTTTTGCCCATTCAGTATGATATTGGCTGTGGGTTTGTCATAGATAGCTCTTATTATTTTGAGATATGTCCCATCATTACCTAATTTATTGAGAGTTTTTAGCATGAAGTGTTGTTGAGTTTTGTCAAAGGCCTTTTCTGCATCTATTGAGATAATCATATGGTTTTTGTCATTGGTTCTGTTTACATGCTGGATCACGTTTATTGATTTGTGTATGTTGAACCAGCCTTGCATCCCAGGGATGAAGCCCACTTGATCATGGTGGATAAGCTTTTTGATGTGCTGCTGGATTCAGTTTGCCAGTATTTTTTTGAGGATTTTTGCATCGATGTTCATCAGGGATATTGGTCTAAAATTCTCTGTTTTTGTTGTGTCTCTGCCAGGCTTTGGTATCAGGATGATGCTGGCCTCATAAAATGAGTTAGGGAGGATTCCCTCTTTTTCTATTGATTGGAATAGTTTCAGGAGGAATGGTACCAGCTCCTCCTTGTACCTCTGGTAGAATTCGGCTGTGAATCCATCTGGTCCTGGACTTTTTTTGGTGGGTAAGCTATTGATTATTGCCACAATTTCAGCTCCTGTTATTGGTCTATTCAGAGATTCAACTTCTTCCTGGTTTAGTCTCGGGAGGGTGTATGTGTCGAGGAAGTTATCCATTTCTTCTAGATTTTCTAGTTTATTTGCATAGAGGTGTTTGTAGTATTCTCTGATGGTAGTTTGTATTTCTGTGGGATCAGTGGTGATATCCCCTTTATCATTTTTTATTGCATCTATTTGCTTCTTCTCTCTTTTCTTCTTTATTAGTCTTGCTAGTGAGCTATCTATTTTGTTGATCTTTTCAAAAAACAAGCTCCTGGATTCATTGATTTTTTTGAAGAGGTTTTTGAAGGGTTTATTTCCTTCAGTTCTACTCTGATCTTAGTTATTTCTTGCCTTCTGCTAGCTTTTGAATGTGTTTGCTCTTGCTTCTCTAGTTCTTTTAATTGTGATGTTAGGGTGTCAATTTTAGATCTTTCCTGCTTTCTCTTATGGGCATTTAGTGCTATAAATTTCTCTCTACACACTGCTTTGAATGTGTCCCAGAGATTCTGGTATGTTGTGTCTTTGTTCCTGTTGGTTTCAAAGAACATCTTTATTTCTGCCTTCATTTCATTATGTACCCAGTAGTCATTCAGGAGCAGGTTGTTCAGTTTCCATGTAGTTGGGCAGTTTTGAGTGAGTTTCTTAATCCTGAGTTCTAGTTGGATTGCACTGTGGTCAGAGAGAAAGTTTGTTATAATTTCTGTTATTTTACATTTGCTGAGGAGTGCTTTACTTCCAACTATGTGGTCAATTTTGGAATAGGTGTGGTGTGGTGCTGAGAAGAATGTATATTCTGTTGATTTGGGGTGGAGAGTTCTGTAGATGTCTATTAGGTCTGCTTGGTGCAGAGCTGAGTTCAATTCCTGGATATCCTTGTTAACTTTCTGTCTCGTTGATCTGTCTAATGTTGACAGTGGGGTGTTAAAGTCTCCCATTATTATTGTGTGGGAGTCTAAGTCTCTTTCTAGGTCACTAAGGACTTGCTTTATGAATCTGGGTACCCTTGTATTGGGTGCATATATATTTAGGATAGTTAGCTCTTCTTGTTGAATTGATCCCTTTACCATTATGTAATGTCCTTCTTTGTCTCTTTTGATCTTTGTTGGTTTAAAGTCTGTTTTATCAGAGACTAGGATTGCAGCCCCTACCTCTTTTTGTTTTCCATTTGCTTGGTAGATCTTCCTCCATCCCTTTATTTTGAGCCTATGTGTGTCTCTGAACGTGAGATGGGTTTCCTAAATACAGTGCACTGATGGGTCTTGACTCTTTATCCAATTTGCCAGTCTGTGTCTTTTAATTGGAGCATTTAGCCCATTTACATTTAAGGTTAATATTTTTATGTGTGAATTTGACCCTGTCATTATGATGTTAGCTAGTTATTTTGCTCGTTAGTTGATGCAGTTTCTTCCTAGCCTTGATGGTCTTTCCAATTTGGCATGTTTTTGCAGTGGCTGGTACTGGTTGTTCCTTTCCATGTTTAGTGCTTCCTTCAGGAGCTCTTTTAGGGCAGGCCTGATGGTGACAAAATCTCTCAGCATTTGCTTGTCTGTAAAGGATTTTAATTTCTTCTTCACTTATGAAGCTTAGTTTGGCTGGATATGAAATTCTGAGTTGAAAATTCTTTTCTTTAAGAATGTTGAATATTGGCCCCCACTCTCTTCTGGCTTCTAGAGTTTCTGCTGAGAGATCCGCTGTTAGTCTGATGGGCTTCCCTTTGTGGGTAGCCCAACCTTTCTCTCTGGCTGCCTTTAACATTTTTTCCTTCATTTCAACTTTGGTGAATCTGACAATTATGTGTCTTGGAGTTGCTCTTCTCGAGGAGTATCTTTGTGGCATTCTCTGTATTTCCTGAATTTGAATGTTTGCCTGCCTTGCTAGATTGGGGAAGTTCTCCTGGATAATATCCTGCAGAGTGTTTTCCAACTTGGTTCCATTCCCCCCGTCACTTTCAGGTACACCAGACGGAGCTTTGGTCTTTTCACATAGTCCCATATTTCTTGGAGGCTTTGTTCATTTCTTATCATTCTTTTTTCTCTAAACTTCTCTTCTCACTTCATTTCATTCATTTCGTCTTCCATCGCTGATACCCGTCCTTCCAGTTGATTGAATCGGCTACTGAGGCTTGTGCATTCAGCATGTAGTTCTCATGCCTTGGTTTTCAGCTTCATTAGGTCCTTTAAGGACTTCTCTGCATTGGTTATTCTAGTTAGCCATTCATCTAATTTTTTTTCGAGGTTTTTAACTTCTTTGTCATGGGTTCGAAATTCCTCCTTTAGCTCTGAATAGTTTGATCGTCTGAAGCCTTCTTCTCTCAACTCATCAAAGTCATTCTCTGTCCAGCTTTGTTCCATTGCTGGTGAGAAGCCGCGTTCCTTTGGAGTAGGAGAGGCGCTCTGATTTTTACAGTTTCATTTTTCTCCTCTGCTGTTACCCCCATCTTTGTGGTTTTATCTGCCTTTGGTCTTTGGTGATGGTGATGTACAGGTGGGGTTTTGGTGTGGATGTCCTTTCTGTTTGTTAGTTTTCCTTCTAACCATCAGGACCCTCAGATGCAGGTCTGTTGGAGTTTGCTGGAGGTCTACTCCAGACCCTGTTTGCCCGGGTATCAACACTGGAGGCTGCAGAACAGTGGATATTGGTGAACAGCAAATGTTGCTGCCTTATCATTCCTCTGGAAGTTTTGTCTCAGAGGAGTACCCAGTCGTGTGAGGTGTTAGTCTGCCCCTACTGGGGGGTGCCTCCCAGTTAGTCTACTCAGGGGTCAGGGACCCACTTGACGAGGCAGTCTGTCCGTTTTCAGATCTCCAGCTGCGTGCTGGGAGAACCACTACTCTCTTCAAAGCTGTCAGACAGGGACATTTAAGTCTGCAGAGGATTCTACTGCCTTTTGTTTGTCTATGCCCTGCCCCCAGAGGTGGAGTCTACAGAGGCAGGCAGGCCTCCTTGAGCTGCAGCGGGCTCTACCCAATTCAAGCTTCCGGGCTGTTTTGTTTACCTACTCAAGCCTCGGCAATATTGGGTGCCCCTCCCCCAGCCTTACTGCTGCCTTGCAGTTTGACCTCAGACTGCTGTGCTAGCAATGAGCAAGGGTCCATGGGCATAGGACCCTCCGAGCCAGGCACAAGATATAATCTCCTGGTGTGCTGTTTGCTAAGACTGTTAGAAAAGTGCAGTATTAGGGTGGGAGTGACCCAATTTTCCAGGTGCCGTCTGTCACCCTTTTCTTTTACTAGGAAAGGGAATTCCCTGATCCCTTGTGCTTCCCAGGTGAGGCGATGCCTCGCCCTGCTTCAGGTCACACTCAATGCTCTGCACCCACTGTCCTGCACCCACTTTCCCACACTCCCCCGTGAGATGAACCCGGTACCTCAGTTGGAAATGCAGAAATCACCCATTTTCTGCGTTGCTCATGCTGGGAGCTGTAGACTGGAGCTGCTCCTATTCGGCCATCTTGGCTCCACCCCCACACTTACAATTTTTAAGATGATAAATCTCTCTTGAAAAGAGAATAAAAGGTTGTGATAGTCTTTATTTCTGCCTTAATTTCGTTATTTACCCAGTAGTTTCTCAGGAGCAGGTTGTTCAGTTTCCATGTAGTTGTGTGGTTTTGAATGAATATGTTAATCCTGAGTTCTAATTTGATTGCACTGTGGTCTGAGAGACTGTTTGTTATGATTTCCATTCTTTTGAATTTGTTTTACTTACAATTATGTGGTTAATTTTAGAATAAGTGTGATGTGGTGCTGAGAAGAATGCATATTCTGTTGATTTGGGGTGGAGAGTTCTGTAGATGTCTATTAGGTCCTCTTGGTCCAGAGCCGAGTTCAAGTCCTGGAAATCCTTGTTAATTTTCTGTCTCATTGATCTGTCTAATATTGACAGTGAGGTGTTAAAGTCTCCCACTATTATTGTGTGGGAATCTAAGATGTTCTTTGAAACCAATTAGAACAAAGACACAACATACCAGAATCTCTGGGGCACATTTAAAGCAGTGTATAGAGGGAAAATTGTAGCACTAAATGCCCACAAGAGAAAGCAGGAAAGATCTAAAATTGACACCCTAACATCACAATTAAAGTAATTAGAGAAGCAAGCGCAAACAAATACAAAAGCTAGCAGAAGACAAGAAATAACTAAGATCAGAGCAGAACTGAAGGAGATAGAGACATGAAAAACCCTTCAAAAAATCAATGAATCCAGGAGCTTGTTTTTTGAAAAGATCAACAAAATAGATAGCTCACTAGCCAGACTAATAAAGAAGAAATGAGAGAAGAATCAAATAGATGCAATAAAAAATGATAAAGGGGATATCACCACTGATCCCACAGAAATACAAACTACCATCAGAGAATACTATAAACACCTCTATGCAAATATACTAGAAAATCTAGAAGAAATGGACAAATTCCTGGACACACACACCCTCCCAAGACTAAATCAGGAAGAAGTTGAATCCCTGAATAGAACAATAACAAGTTCTGAAATTAAGGCAGTAATTAATAGTCTACCAACCCCCAAAATAAATCCAGGACCAGATGGATTCACAGCCAAATTCTACCAGAGGTACAAAAAGGAGCTGGTACCATTCCTTCTGAAACTATTCCAATCAATAGAAAAAGAGGGAATTCTCCCTAACTCATTTTACGAGGCCAATGTAATCCTGATAAACCTGGCAGCGACACAACACAAAAGAAAATTTTAGGCCAATATCCCTGATGAACATCAATGTGAAAATCCTCAATAAATACTGGCAAACTGAATCCAGCAGCACATCAAAAAGCGTATACACCACGATCAAGTAGGCTTCATCCCTGGGATGCAAAGCTGGCTCAACATACACAAATCAATAAACATAATCCATCACATAAACAGAACCAATGACAAAAACCACATGATTATCTCAATAGATGCAGAAAAGGCCTTCAACAAAATTCAACAGTCCTTCATGCTAAAGACTCTCAATAAACTAGTTATTGATGGAACGTATCTCAAAATAATAAGAGCTATTTATGACAAACCCACAGCCAATATCATACTGAATTGGCAAAACCTGGAAGCATTACCTTTGAAAACTGGCACAAGACAAGGATTCCCTCTCTTACCAACCCTATTCAACAAAGTATTGGAAATTCTGGCCAGGGCAATCAGGCAAGAGAAAGAAATAAATTGTATTCCATAGGAAGAGAGGAAGTCAAATTGTCTCTGTTGGCAGATGACATGATTGTATATTTTTAGAAAACCCCATCATCTCAGCTCAAAATCTCCTTAAGCTGATAAGCAACTTCAGCAAAGTCTGAGGATATAAAATCAATGTGCAAAAATCACAAGTATTTCCATACACCAAAAACAGACAAACAGCCAAATAATGAATGAACTCCCATTCACAATTGCTATTAAGAGAATAAAATACCTTGGAATACAACATACAAGCAATGTGAAGGACCTCTTCAAAGAGAACTACAAAACACTGCTCAAGGAAATATGATACAACACAAACAAATGGAAAAACATTCCATGCTAATGGATAGGAAGAATCAGTATAGTGTAAATGGTCATACTACCCAAAATAATTTATAGAATCAGTGCTGTCCCCATCAAGGTACCATTGACTTCCTTCACAGAGTTGGAAAAGACTACTTTAAATTTCATATGGAACCAAAGAAGAGCCCGCATAGCCAAGACAATCCTAAGCAAAATGAACAAAGCTGGAGGCATCATACTACCTGACTTCAAACTATACTACAAAGCTACGGTAACCAAAACAGCATGGTACTGGCACAAAAACAGATATATAGACCAGTGAAACAGAACAGAGGCCTCAGAAATAACTCCACACATCTACAACCATCTGATCTTTGACAAAGGGCTAATATCCAGAATTTGCAAAGAACCTAAACAAATTTACACGAAAAAAAAACATCAAAAATCAGCAAAGGATATGAACAGACACTTCTCTAAAGAAGATATTTATGCAGCCAACAAACATGAAAAAATGCTCATCATCACTGCTCATTAGGGAAATGCAAATCAAAACCACAATGAGATAGCCATCTCATGCAGGTTAGAATGGCGATCATTAAAAAGTCAGGAAACAACTTGTTGGAGAGGATGTGGAGAAATAGGAATGCTTTTACACTGTTGGTGGAAGTGTAAATTAGCTCAACCGTTGTGGAAGACAGTGTGGTGATTGCTCAAGCATCTAGAACTAAAAATACCATTTGACCCAGCAATCCCATTACTGGGTATATACCCTAAGGATTAAAAATCATTCTACTGTAAAAAGACATGCCCATGTGTGTTTATTGCAGCACTATTTACAATAGCAAAAATTTGCAACCAACTGAAATGGCCATCAATAATAGACTGGATAAAGAAAATGTGGTACATATACACCATGGAATACTATACAGCTAGAAAAAAGAATGAGTTCATGTCCTTTGCAGGGACATGAATGAAACTGGAAACCATGATTCTCAGCAAACTAACACAAGAACAGAAAACCAAACACTACCTGTTCTCACTCATAAGTGGGAGTTGAACAATAAGGACACATGGACACGTTGTGGGTGGGGGGATGGCATCACACACCAGGATCTTTCAGGGTCTGGGGGTCTAGGGGAGGGATAGCATTAAAAGAAATACCTAATGTAGATGACAGGTTGATGGGTGCAGCAAACCACCATGGCACATGTATACCTATGTAACAAACCTACACATTCTGCACACGTACCCCAGAAGTTAAAGTATAATAATAAAAAAAAAAGGTTGTGATAATCAAAAGTGGTTAATTCTGAATAGAATGGAGGAAATGGAAATGGGAGAAGCTGGTTAAGTGAAAATTTAGGTTGTATCTAATGATCCATTATTTTAAATAATAAAGCATATAATATAAAAGTATTGTTTAATTTGAGTGATGGAAATACAGTGTCTAGAATGTAACTGCAGACATACCTTTTGCATCTACAATGCTTACAGACTAGAAAATTCCACATAATAAGTTAAAAAAAAAGAAATGCTATCAGTATTTACTTAAGATGCTTCTATATGCTTTGAGGGAATATCACAGGCTCATCATATAAAAAAACATATTTTCCAACCAAATAATTTTAATTAATCCCTAGAAATAAGACCAAATATATGATAAGTACAACAAGAATTTTAATTAATACCCCTTCTGGTCACATTAAGAAGTTAATTAAAAGTTGATATTCACTTTTTATAACCACTCACATGTTGAATTTATGTTTTATATCACCTGGTTTTTATGACTTATGTATCAGGAGTTGCTCTTGATGCAGAATATGGGGGTTACATTTAGTTCTGTTCACAATATTCACATTGAAATTGACCATTGGAGCCAGAATCCTGTGCTTGCTATGTATTGATTTTTTCAACCCAGGGCCAGCAGTATCAATTCTCATTTTATATAGGAGTAATTGCATTCTTTTTTTATTTAATAGTATTATCTAAGTGAGTCCCTAGGCAATCTCCACATTTCACTCTTTGGGTAAAATTTTGAGTGGAATCTTGGCTAATGAATGCTGTTTGTCTTTCTTTCCCCAGGGAATCTGATTTTTATTTGGAAAATCTTGTTGTCAAGCTTGGGGACTGGGAGCTAGAAACAAACATATTCAGTGTGCAGGTCTTCAGAGACTTCAGACCCTTGAAAAACTCTAGCATGCTTCGGGCAGGAACCTTGGGTCTGGGCCTGGCCAGATCTCTCTACACAGGTAGGTTACACCAAATATTTTACTTCTTTCTAAGTTTCATGTAAAAATCAAGTATCTTTGAGGATTTACCAATTTAAATCAGACTCAGGATTGAAATGATATCTAATTTGTCTTCTTTTCCAAATAACTCAAGTATCTGCCCACTGATTGCTTATTGGAAGTGACAGTGATACAACATAAACAATAGTATCCAGCATCTCTATTGATAGACTAGACAGCTTGAACATTTATACCAAATAATGAATAGTCATTACAGTTAGTATATTCCACCTTAATATGAACACTGATTTTTTTCTGCCTTAGAACCGAGATGTTTAGAGAGAATGCTACACCAAAAGGGAAGTATCTTATGTGTCTCTGATGCATATGATTTGATGTTTCAAAAAAGGGCTTTCAAAAATACTTGACAATGATGAAAATGAGCTTTTATTCTTGCATTCCCTGGGGTGAAAAATCCTAGGATGAAAAGATTCCCTGGTACTAATAGTCAATCTCCCTGATGGATGCCAAAAACTCACGTTGAGATTCAGTGCTTGTCTCAAACCAGACCCATGTCTCAACAAGATTAACACAAATTCCACAGTTAGACATTAATGAAATATAGTCTTGAAATCTTCTCAGAAGCTATTTAAGAGTTAATTTGCAACATAACACCTCATCCAAAGGGTGACAATTTTTACAGTGAAATTGACATTAAAATTATTAACCTCAGGTATATTTTTATTTATTTTATATTGAGATTCATGGTATTGGTAGACCTATAAAATATTTCTTTTCAAAAACTAATTTTAAAAAAACTTTTGTGAAAAATTATAATAGCTCTTAACAGGAAAATTCTAACAAAAAATATTCTAAAAAAAAAAAGAAAACTCAACAGGAGAAAACTGGGTTTGTTCTAAGGAAACTTTATGTCAATGGCATATACTTGCTGAAATAATAATCAACTCCAGCTCTGCCCTCAGCCATGCTTCAGAGGAGGAGAAATTAATAATGGGTAAAGATATTAAATATTTGCAAATTATCTTCCTTCCCCGAGCTAATTGCACAAATTCAAGAGTAGCCAGTAAATAATTGCTATTGCTCATGATGTTCTTTTTTGTTGTTAAATTAAGGGTGTCTATGGAATATAAATGTCAGAATGAACAATGCACTGAGTTGCTTTGTGTGTGGCAGCCAAACAGGAAATATTTTGATCAAAGTAATTTTTAGCACAATGTTTTAAATCATAAGCTTGCCTGCTTATAAGACATGCAGTTCTTTTTAGCGCAGTGGCAAGAAACAAAAGATAGAGGATAGGCGCTACACACAATCAGATCAGTTTCTCAGACTCATATTTGATGTATTTAATAATGTATCATAACAAAGAAACATTGAAGATTTAAGAGGTAATCTGATTGCAAGACAGCATGTTTTGTTTGTTAAAAAAGGAGCTAGATATTGTGTGTCCCAGTTTTTTAAAAAATATGCAGTAGTATAATTCATTTGCTATTTCTGTATTAACTGTAAAAGCACTCAGTAAGGTGGAATGAATTACTGGAATTAAGAACTCACATTGAAAATCATTCAAAGCATGCTAATAACAAAAACTGAAGGTAGCATCCATTTTGCATTCACTTGGTACCAGGCTCTATAAAAACAAATCATTTATGTGCATTATCTCATTTAATGTGGATAATACAAGAATATAATGCTTGGTAAAAATCACCTAGGTATTAATTGGTAGACTAAAACAAACCAATTACATAAACAAAATCACAAAAACAAAATAAAACCATGAAGTTTAGATCAATGTCTACATAGTATTTTCAAGTAATTTTGAGTATTAATTGGTAGACTAACACAATCAATCACAGAAACAAAATCATAAAACCATGCAGTTTGGAACAATGTCTTACACAGTCTTTTTGAGTAATTTTACTTCAATGAGACTCAATTTTCTTATTAGACATGAAAATAATTACCATCTACCTATATTTTAGGGTGCTCCTGCAGAATGAGATAACTATTTCAAAATTCTTAGGATAACTTTCAACACATGTTACTTTTTAAATAAATATTAACAGCCTTCCCCACTCGTCTTTCTATACAAGTATAATAAATCAAAGTAATCTAACTTTAACAAATAAAAGTTGTAAGTAATAAGCATTAAAAAATAAAACAATAACAATTTAAAATGAAAAAGTATAAGCTAGAAAGGGAAGGGAGAGTAGGGCTTCTGGAACAAAATAGTAGAGAAGAGTCTGAGTAAGAGAAGTCACAATGATAGGACAGGACTGGCTTATCTAGCAGAAGTAACGAAATGTGATTGAGTAAAAAGGATTCTGACTTTCAGAATTACACTCAGAGGGAAAAATATTGAAGTGTAGGCCTACTTCTGCACAGCTGAAGCAACATTATGCGGTAGAAATTGATAAAGCAAAATCCAGAATACTGAAAGTGTTTCCCATAGAAATGTTGAAATTCCCAAGAATTATTAATGACAAGTTAGGGGCTGGATAAGTCACCAGTGGAAGCTAGGAAAAAGATAACTGGTGGTCACCCCGTGTCATCAACTTCTTAAGGCTGCTCTCTCTTATCACTGGAAACACAGACAGAAACACACAAATAAAAATTGTAAGTAATAAATTACATGTTCATGTAAGTGTATATATATTAATCAATATCATATGCTAATCTATGTATATAATACATGTGAATATACATTAATATAAAATGCATATCTATTCATCCAATATTATGTGCTAATATAGTTGATAAATGCATAATATTAAGACATATTACAAAACAAATAAATATGTATTCACTCAATATAAACTATATCCAATAGTAAATACATAAATTGCTTGTCCAAACAGTTTTAAGACTCTTTTTTTTTTTTTTTTTTTTGAGACGGAGTCTCGCTCTGTCGCCCAGGCTGGAGTGCAGTGGCACCACTGCAAGCTCCGCCTCCCAGGTTCGCAGCATCCTCCTGCCTCAGCCTCCCGAGTAGCTAGGACTACAGGCGCACACCACCACACCCGGCTGATTTTTCGTGTTTTTTAGTAGAGACGGGGTTTCACCGTGTTAGCCAGGATGGTCTCGATCTCCTGACCTCGTGATCCGCCCGCCTCGGCCTCCCAAAGTGCTGGGATTACAGGCGTGAGCCACCACGCCCGGCCAGTTTTAAGACTCTTAATTGTCTGGGGAGTTTTTATTTCTGAAGTTTATGAAAACATGGGGAGAAAAACAATTAGGTTCTGAAACTTGTAAGAGTTTGTAAAACAAAATAAACTGATTTCAAATGAAATATTTAACAACCTAGCATCTAACAGAAACATCAATGTTATCATCAATTGATTTCTTTCAACTTTTTCAGGTAAAAGATGAAGCCAACAATACAAATGGCTTCAGGAAATCTCACATGGGTGACGGAGTTCATTCTTGTGGGAGTCTCAGATGATCCGGAGCTCCAGATTCCCCTCTTCCTGGTCTTCCTGGTGCTCTATTTGCTGACCGTGGCAGGGAACCTGGGCATCATCACCCTCACCAGTGTTGACCCTCAACTTCAAACCCCCATGTACTTTTTCCTCTGACACTTGGCTATTATTAATCTTTGCAATTCTACTGTCGTTGCCCCTAAAATGCTGGTTAACTTCCTGGTTACCAAGAAAACCATATCATACTATGGATGTGCAGCCCAACTGGGTGGATTCTTGGTTTTCATTGTGGCTGAGATTTTCACGCTGGCTGCAATGGCCTATGACCGCTATGTGGCTATTTGGAGCCCTCTGCTCTACGCCGTAGTGGTGTCTCCAAAGGTGTGTCGTCTGCTGGTGTCCCTCACATACCTTCAGAGTCTTATCACAGCACTGACTGTCTCTTCCTGTGTGTTCTCTGTGTCATACTGTTCTTCCAACATTATCAACCATTTTTACTGTGATGATGTCCCTTTGCTAGCATTGTCCTGTTCTGATACCTACATTCCAGAAACAGCAGTCTTTATCTTTTCAGGGACCAACTTGCTTTTCTCCATGATCGTTGTTCTGATATCCTACTTCAACATTGTTATTACCATTTTGAGGATACGTTCCTCAGAAGGACGACAAAAAGCCTTTTCCACCTGTGCTTCTCACATGATAGCTGTGGTTGTGTTCTATGGGACTCTCCTTTTCATGTATTTGCAACCAAGGAGTAATCATTCATTAGATACTGACAAAATGGCTTCGGTCTTCTACACCCTGGTGATACCAGTGCTGAACCCTCTAATCTACAGCCTCAGGAACAAGAACGTGAAGGATGCACTAAAGAGGTTCCTAGATAACCCATGCCGATCACTCAAACTAATGTAAATGTAAAGCTAAAACTATCTTCCTTTAGTGCTTTTCGTTTTTTCCTGAAAACTGCTGTGTTTTAAAAAAAAGTGTCAAGAAATTTTTAGAAATTCCATTCATTTCAGTGGGAAATGTTTAATTGTTCTTATGTCAACCTCACATACGCAAACAAGAAAACAATATCTATAATTAATAAAAATAATTTGAAAATAATCACAGTTTATAGATAACTTATAGATAAAATGTAAGCCACTAAAGGGTTTTTAAAATAATTTCCAAACAAGGAAAAGAATGCCTGATAGTGCGTGTGGAGGTATGTGGCATCATTTCTTGGAAGGTGGTCAAAACTCAGATCATCCTCCTTGCAAGAGACATCTTTTGTTCAGCTACTAAAAATTATATTTTTAGTTTTGTAGCATTTTATCCATCAAGTTCAACTTTTGTGGAACCATTTTTATCTTGTATTTAAAAATAAATTTTTTATCACAGAAAAACTACACATGGAAATAAGACTTAAGGGAAAACAGGCTAACAAATTTTTAAAGGGGATTTTCTTTTTTCATTGTTCTCAGTTGGTGTGTGCACCCAAAGCTAAATGTTGATGTTCTCTCAAATAAGACACACAACTTTTTTCCATCTCATCATAAAACATTTGTGTAAAGTTAATTGCCTTTGTTATGAAACTATAATACCAAACACAACTACTTTTAGCATTTTCATTCAGTGTAATTTGAAATGAAATTTTATCAGACAAAATTTTTTAAAAATAATATTTTCTTAAAGATGTCCTCCTGTTTTTTTTTAAGTTAGTAGTTACTATGAACTACATCTCTTTGCATGTAAAAGGCTACTAATGCATGATGGAGTGAGGGAGAGTGGCACTTATATGTGAAATAAAGGTAGTGTCTGGAAATAAAGTACAGTTATAATATTTTCAGGAAGGTTAGAAGCATACTCAATCCGGGGACTGTGTGACTCAAATCAATATTTCAACTTCTAACTTTAGCCTTAAAGGAGCAGAATCACTGAAGGCAGGAAAAATCACACTATATGAGGGACATTTCTGGTCTCAAGGGCAACATTAATAATAGTTCTATGGCATTTGCCTTTATGTTACTTATCTGTTTATTTGTGTATCTTTTTCTACTTTATGATATGTGTATTTGGCTTCATCAACTGATATAATTGTAACTGGAGAACTATACTTCCCATTAGAAACAATTCTTTTGGGTCTGGCTAGATGAATAGCATTGGAGTAACAGGGCTAAACTCACACTTGCATTTATACCAATGTTATGCATATTACTAAATTAGTTAAGGTCAGTAAGAAGTACTCCAGTGTTTTCTACCTTTTAATTTGGCTTACACATGTGTATTTTGTAAAAATAATGATGTTGTCTCTTGTATTCGTTTTCTATTGCTACTGTAAGAAATCACTACAAACATAGTAGCTTGGAACAACCCAAATTTATTATCCCACATTTCTAGGGGTCAGAAAGTCAAAGTGGATCTCATGAGGTTAAAACCAAGGTGTTGGCAGTCTGTATTCCTACTGGAATCTCCGGGACAATCTATTTTCTTGCTTTTTCCAGGTTCTAGAGGTTGCCTACAGCAATTGGCTTATGTTCTCCTTCCAGTCAGCAATCTCATCACTCTGACCTCTGCTTCCACTGCTGTGTCCCCTCTGCCTTTCACCCTCTTCTTCCCTCTCTCCCCTGTGATTGTCTTGGACTCACACAGATAATCCATAAAATCCTCCTCATCTCATGATTCTTAATCACATCAGCAAATTCCCTTTTCCATGGAATGTGACATGTTCAGATAGATTCCTGTACCTGTCTTATTCATTAGTGCTCAATGGTATAGTCTTACAAAAGTTGACATGCTATATATCCTTTCTACATTATTTACTATAAAATTTATGTAAACAAAGTATACACATGGCCTTCTTTGAATAAAAAATAAAAATCAGTTGGTTTTAATGTTGCAAAAGTATATACACATATAAACATACACACTCATATACCACTTGTGACACTTTTATTCATATGTGATGAATTAACTCAATCAACCAAGCAGATAAGTTTTCAAAGAAGCAAGATAGAACAATTAAATTGTCAGCTCTGGTCTATATGTTAATCACCCCAGGGGGCATGTCAACCTAAATAACAGAGAGAGGCTCTCTAAAAGAGAATAATATTTATTCAGGATTACAGCATTGCAATGAGAAGGCAAGTGCCATAGTAAATTATGTGCATATTCAGAGAGAAAAAGGAAGACAAAGGGTTTTATAGAGAAAAAAATGAGGAATATTACCTTTGGCTTCAAAAATCAGTAATAAGAGTGATACTAGTCTGAGGTTGGACAGGCAGTTGCTGGAGAGATGTCCTTGGAGAAGTATATATATTTTTAAAGTTGTGATGGCCTTTGTGCAAGGTTGTGATTTTTGCCGTCATTTGTGATACTTTTGCTATCAGGCATACAAGCCTGAGAACCTTCTCTCCATGCCTTCTAAGGCTTCGTCAGTTTGTGTGTATGTGTGTTTGTTGTTTTTTAATTTTTTAAACAGAAGTAACTCCATTTTGATTCTGACAGCTTTCACATTTCCCCCTTTTGATCAAAATATTCTTCCAAAAGCACCACTAGTAAGTCATACTGTCATTAAGTTTTGATGTTTCTTGGTGCCAAAATAAAAATAGACTTGTTCTGCATTCCTGATCCCATCTCACATTGGAGAGAGTGCTTACTGACTGTGAGTTAATGACAAAACCCCATTAGCCATATTTGAGCAACATGAGAGTTTTGAAGGAAGAGACTCACAGGCTAAGTCTACCTGGAATTCATTATTAAGTTCAGTTCTGTCTGTTTCATAATCTTTTTGCCATCATCTGAAAGTGCTGAGTAAGCATTGTTTTGTTAGAAATTGTATTTCTGGAAAAAATTCAACGAGTAGCACACAAAGTTTAAAAGTGGAAAACACAAAGTAAAATTAACAGTAGTATGAAAGTCCCAATTTGTATAATAGTTTTGATCCTAGGCTTAAAGACAACCAATTGAATAAATCAAATGCCATTTATGCTGCCAAATGAAAAAGGTAGGCCTGAGAATAGTGAGCCCCATTATAGAGTTTTATTCTGACATTGTGGGAAAAGCTGCCTACGGCATTAAGACATCAACTTTTTGTCATGGTTTGTAGTTTGACTATAACTGATTACAATATCAGGTGGTTTGGTAAACATTTTCTGTGGCCCGTATATGAGGCAGGAGGCTTGTTCCTTAAAATTTATCTAGTTTCAGCTTATAGGGCTTTTGGAACAAAAAAGTTTTTGTTTTCAGTAATTCTATAGAAGAAAGTTGTATTGGGAGAATCTAGAAGACTTGAAAATTTAGTGTAGTCTACAGGTAAATAACAAGAACTTAAAAACAATGCAAAGTGCTATAACCGAATAATGGATATATTATACCTTTGCTTTAGAAACATGACTTTTTCTCTGCCTTGATCACCTAAAAATCTCAGATTTAAAAACTTCTTAAGCTAGAAAGCCAAACCAAGGCAGACCTTGGATTTTGTTTACATACTTACAATCTTAAGGTTCCTAGGCCTGTCAAGAAGTGATAATTTTTACTTAATTCCCTGTAAGGCAGGGAGCTGTTGAAATCTGGTATTTTATGCAAATTTTCAAATATGACATATTTTCAGTCAAATCCATGGTAATATGACCAATATTTCTAATTGTGTCCTCCTGTAAAGATAAATCAGATTTTTATTGAAATTATGTTATTATATAGATTGTCATTAAAAGTAAGAATACTTATGAATAGTTTTTGAATTTTCAAGGAATTAAATTGGGAGAGAAATCAAATGCTTTCAATTTTTTCACAAAATTATCCTTTACCAAATTTGTGTAAATTATAGCTTATGAGAGAAATTTTTCTTAAATCTTGAAAACAAACCATTTAAGTAAAGAATCAATGTTTTAAACAACGTTTTAAATAAAATAATAAAAACTATTTTCATCAGTTATTTTTATATTGCTTGATCTTGATTAGCAGTTTTATGAACCCATAAGTTTTATGAACCTATAAGTTTTTTAAATCAGAGTTCTAGACATTTTTATTTATTTCATTGCCTTTAAGGTTGTCATAAATCTACTCAAGAATACTTGTTAAAGTCTTTTCCATGAAAGGCAATTTTGGATTATAGTTAATTGTAAATACTTTTAGAGAAGAATTTAAAGCAATAATTGTGAATGACAAAAAGTTAGAATAGTCATGGATAAAAATCTGATGAAAGTTTTCAATTGACAAGGAAATTTATTTATTATTACCTATTACATTTTAAAATATCAATCAGAATTATGACTGGCTGAATCACATCAGGGCTATCAGACTTTTATAAATGTGACACAACTGGCCGGGCGCGGTGGCTCACGCCTGTAATCCCAGCACTTTGGAAGGCCAAGGCAGGTGGATCACGAGGTCAGGAGATCAAGACCATCCTGGCTAACACAGTAAAACCCCGTCTCTACCAAAAATACAAAAAATTAGCCAGGCGTGGTGGCGGGTGCCTGTAGTCCCGGGTAATCGGGAGGCTGAGGCAGGAGAACTGCGTGAACCCGGGAGGTGGAGCTTGCAGTGAGCCCAGATGGTGCCACTGCACTCCAGCCTGGGAGACAGAGTGAGACTCCGTCTCAAAAAAAAAAAAAAAAAAAAAAGTGACACAACTGAAAATCATAAAATGCTCACATCAATAATACATCCATATAAATATAACTTTAAAGAAGATTAAGCTTATCAACCAAAATTATGACTGCTAACATATTAGATTTTCATAAGTTTATGTAGATTTTAAAACAAGTATAGATAACATGCCCCTGAATGTAACTGAAAGAAGATTTAACATCACTTAGTATTTGACAATGTTTCCCCCTTATACTTTACTAAATAAAACTAATCATTTAGCAAGACATATGTTCTTGACATATGGGCCCAAGTGGAAAATTTCAAAGTTAATTATAGATCAGAAAATCTTCATTTTAGAGCCAAGAGCCCCATTTGCATGTGTGGAGAAGCAGTGGCACCAGCGCAGTGGTGCGAGACACTCTCACCCCCCTCAGGAGACTTAGGGACGCACTGCCTCTGTCACCTGCTCAGCTCCCTGCCCGGGTGAGGAGGCCATCTTGTGTGGTTGAGTGTCTTGAGCTGAGGGCAGCAACTATGACTGAGTTGCTATTGGTGATAACAAAAGCCTCAGCAGGTGGGGAGGATGAAAGGTAGCTGGATGGAGCTGGGAGATGGGACACCACACAATATTAAACAGTTGAAGAGAAGGAATCGGGTTATCTTTTCAGTCAGCTACAATGGTAAGTTCTACAAGGATGTGATGGAGGTGGTGAACGATCAAAACTTGCCTATTTCAGTGATGTTCCTGTAGGTGCAGTGTACTCTAGGGTGGCTCATTCACAGAATCAGAAAAGACTTTACATCATGACACTTGGATATCTGGCACCTTACCAAAGGCTAGGAATAGGAACTACAATGTTAATTCATGTCTTAAACATGTGAAAAAGATGGCACTTTTGACATCTATCTGCATGTCCAGATCAGCGGTGAGTCGGCAATTGACTTCTACAGGAAGTTTGGCTTTGAGATTATGGAGCCCAAGAAGAACTACTATAAAACCGCAAAGCCTGCAGATGATCATGTCCTGCAGAAAAACCTCAAATTACCTTCTGGTCAGAATGCAGATGTGGAAAAGACAGACAACTGAACAAATTACCTTCTCAAAAGGAGAAAGAAGGAAAACTGAAGGCAATAATAACCTGAAAATCACGTGCAGTGAGATATAGCAAAAATTGAACTTCAAAATATGAATCTAAAATACTTTAAGAGGAGAAATCTACCTATAGAAGTAACATTCTCATTTTAAATAAAAAAATACAGCATTTCCAACCAGAAATTAGGAAAATTAATTGGATCTCAGAAAGAAATTTGGCAGAAATAGATAGTGTTTGCAGTTTAGAAAATGACTGTTACAGAAACAGATTTCAAAATTAAAAATCAAAACTTTTTGCAATTTTATTAAAAGCAAACCAACATTTCAATAAAACCATATTGTTTTACCATAAGGGACAAAGATTTAGTTTTATATTAGTTTATTTAATACTGAATAACTTATAAATATATTTATACATTTAGTTATAGAGAACTTGATTACAAACAAAATTTATTTTATAAATTCCTCTTTAAAATTATTTTCATGATTTATTCAGACCATTGTTGACATGTTTGGAATTTTAATTTTGTCCTGTGCTTGCTCCTTTTAAAATAAGCATTTTACTTTAGTACAAAAATTATCACACGAGATTTTTTTTCTACAAAATTTTTTAACCTTCTTTGCCAAAAATACATTTTCTTACCCATAACTTTTGTCACATCTCTCTCAACTATTTACTAGTTTTTGTCTTGTTTTAATTTTCTTCCTAAATCTATTTGTTGAAATAATCTTTAAAAAACCTCTGAATTATGCAATATTATTTTTAAAAGAACATATTTTAGGTTTGTAAATAGTTTTTTGTCAAAAAATCTTGTTTTTAATACATTTTCTATACAGAATTATATTGATTTTGACTGTTGTTGTTTTATTTATTTTTATTTTTATTTTTTGAGACAGAGTCTCGCTCTGTTGCCCAGACTGGAGCGCGGAGATGCGATCTCGGCTCGTAGCAGCCTCTGCCTACCAGGTTCAAGTGATTCTCCTGTCTCAGCCTCCTGAGTAGCTGGGATCACAGGCATGTGCCACCACGCCCAGCTAATTTTTGTATTTTTAGTAAAGACGGGGTTTTTCCATGTTGGCTAGGCTGGCCTTTAATTCCTGACCTCAGGAGGTGGCCTCCCAAAGTGTTGGGATTACAGGCGTGAGTCACTGTTTCTGTCCCAGAATTATATACATATTAATTGGAATTTTAACTCTTAGCAACCTAATTTCTACCAAGCAGTGTTAAACCATCTGTCATTTATCAGTATTTTATGGAATGGAAGCCATTTTATATATTTTGAAACATGTTTTCCTATAGCATAATTTTTGTATGTACTGATAGACTCTAGTATATTTACTATTTCTATATAATTTAAGAAACCATGAATAAAAGTATTTTGTTTAACAATCAGTTTGATTTTCTAAAATTTGCAAATGACCCAGTTATTTAGTGAATATTTATTACTTAATTTAACATAACATAACTTTACAATTTTAAATTACATGAAAAGTTTATTTATAAGCATTTATCTCATTTACTTAAATTTTATTTAACTTTAACAGTTTACCTGTGTTATCTATGAGAATTGACATATTAAACAAAACTAGAATATTTTTAAATTATTTTCCTATCAATTATTATTATAGCCTGTGACTCTCAGGTGTTCACTTAAGAACTTTAATTATATGAGTATTTTATCAATAATTCAAAAAATACAGTGGTTTTCATTAAACTGACAATATAAAATTACCCTTATGTATCAAAGAGTTACAGAAAGATTATTCTGGTTTAGGCTAGGTTTATAGTTTTACAACCTGTGTGTCAAATCTTGACACTTTAAACCATCTAGCCCAGACAAGTATAAAAGTGTCTGACCAGTAAATTCAGGCAGAAATGTATGTTTCCAATCCTGAAGATTTTTTTTCTTACTTTACCAATAATTTTAAAATCAGCTAATTTATTAAAGATATACCTATGTCACATGAACTAAAAGGCATTTGGTTAATTACTATATCATATAATTTTATATGAGTGCTCATTTATTTAAGCCAATTTAAATAAAATTTCATAATGAATGTCTGGCCAACTGCACTAGGTTTTACCATATAGGTACAACATACAACAATATATTTACATATCAATAAGTGTACCTAAACACATATATACACACAGTGATTTTATAGTCTTTATTTTAGTATTTGGTCATGAGACAGTAAACTATAGAAACTCACTGGTTTATAAAAAAACAGTTGGATTCAAATTATATTTTTTATAAAATTGGCACCTCCTCACATAACTAAATTTTATTTGCCTGATAGGCAATCTAATGAAGGCTGTCGACCAAAATTTTGTATAAAGCAGCACTTTCCATAGCAATTGGAATTTTTTTACACTATTTTTTCCTTTTTTCTCTTTCTTTTTAATTTTAAGTAAATTTAGGATTAAATATTTAAAACTTACATTTTTGCTAGGACTGGCTGAGTTGTATAAGAAAAACAAATTTAAGAGTAGCCTTGAATCTGTCTTGTGTTTCTTGACCAGACAAATATTAGCGGGAAACCATTTTAGTAAGTCTGGATTTTTTTCCTTTTTTTTTTTTCTTTTTCCTTTTGGCCCCTGATTGCAGACAATGTGAACTTTTATCTTATTTAACAAAGACATCTTATATTATTTCCCTGATCTTAACAGTTTGACCTGTTTGATCTGTTAGCCAAACTTTTATAAACTTTTATTTAGTTTTTTCTTTTACACTATTAATCCTTTAACTAACTATTCTACTACCCTAATTGTTAGTCAAACACAGTTACATTTATATTTCCAAGTTACCATGAAGCTGTTGTAGCTTGTAAAGCCATTAATTTGAAAATTCTTTAAAATCTATTTTTTTAAAAATAGTCTTGGCTGGAATGCCATAATAATTGAGTTTTGGCTTAACACTAATACAAAAGTCAGCAGATTTAAAATAGGCAGAAAAGAAAAATAGAGAAATAGGAAACCTTGACAAATTTACATGTTAATTCTATAGTTTCAGGGCTTTATTTTTTTAAAAGGGTTTGACTAATGACCATTTGAACTTTTAATTTTTCTCAATGTAATTTTCCCATCAATTAAACAATGTATATAAGAATGGACCATATTATATTGCTGGCTGTAATCCTAGAAAACCTGGCATGCCTCAATATTTGAAAATAACTTTTTTTTTTATTAATCTCTTGAGAGAAAAGAGAAGCTTATAAATCCTGTTAGAAAATGTCAGGAGTTTTCAGGACATAGGCATGGGCAAGGACTTCATGACTAAAATACCAAAAGCAATGACAACGAAAGCCAAAATAGACAAATGGGATCTAATTAAACTAAAGAGCTTCCGCACAGCAAAAGAAACTACCATCAGAGTGAACTGGCAACCTACAGAATGGGAGAAAATTTTTACAATCTACTCATCTGACAAAGGGCTAATATCCAGAATCTACAAAGAACTTAAACAAATTTAGAAGAAAAAAATCAAACAACCCCATCAAAAAGTGGGCGAAGGATATGAACAGACACTTCTCAAAAGAAGACGTTTATGCAGCCAACAGATGCATGAAAAAATGCTCATCATCACTGATCATCAGAGAAATGCAAATCAAAACCACAATGAGATACCATCTCATGCCAGTTAGAATGGCGATCATTAAAAAGTCAGGAAACAACAGGTGCTGGAGAGGATGTGGACAAATAGGAACACTTTTATGCTGTTGGTGGGACTGTAAACTAGTTCAACCATTGTGGAAGACAGTGTGGCGATCCCTCAAGGATCTAGAACTAGAAATACCATTTGACCTAGCCATCCTGTATATACCGAAAGGATTATAAATCATGCTGCTATACAGACACATGCAGACGTATGTTTATTGCGGCACTATTAACAATAGCAAAGACTTGGAACCAGCCCAAATGTCCATCAGTGATAGACTGGAGGAAGAAAATTTGGCACGTATACACCTTGGAATTCTATGCAGCCATAAAAAAGGATGAGTTCATGTCCTTTATAGGGACATGGATGAAGCTGGAAACCATCATTCTGAGCAAACCGTCGCAAGGAGAGAAAACCAAACACTGCATGTTCTCACTCATAGGTGGGAACTGAACAATGAGAACACCTGGACACAGGAAGGGGAACATCACACAGTGGGGCCATTTGTGGGGTTGGGGGAGAGGGCAGGGATAGCATTAGGAGATATACCTAATGTAAATGACGAGTTAATGGGCGCAGCACATGAACATGGCACATGTATACATATGTAACAAACCTGCATGTTGTGCAAGTGTACCCTAGAACTTAAATTATAATAATAATAATAATTTAATAAAGAAAATGTCAGGAGTTTAGATCAGTGTTTTAGTTGGTGGTGTTGCCTTAGTGACTTTTAATGAGCCATCTCGTGTCCAGCATTTAGGCTGTATATTTTTACTCTCAGAAAACTTTCAGGAACAAGCAAAACAAATAAGTCAAATCATTTACATATATAAAATAATAAATTCAAAAGAAACCAAGATAAGGGTGTTGTCAAAATTTTTAGCCCATATGTGCAGATCAAACAAAATGTTAAATTAGACGTGTAGAGAGAACCCAAAATAAATTCACCTGTAAAGACATGCCTCAGAGACAGAATGTAAATACCGTAGAAACCAGAGTACTCAACCCAGAAAGACACTTGTATTTATACAAAAAAACATAACAGAAAAGACAAAAAGTATTTAATATCCCAAGAGGCATCCTTGTTTTCAGGCTGCCTTATGGAAACCTATGCTATCAACTTATTCACACATATAGTATCAACTGACATGATAGAGGCATCAGTGTTTTCTAAAAAAGAAAGAATGATCTTTTTGATAAATGGCATTAGACAATTTATATATCTATTTTGAATTAAAAAATCTGAGCATCTACCTCATTCCTTATTTAAAATGAATTTCAAATGGTTTAAAGATCTAAATATAAAATACAAATAATAAAGCTTTTAGAAGAAAGCATGAGGGACATCTTTGTGATATTGGAGTATGTACAAAATTTTAAACAGAATAAACAAAGCAATAATCATATAAAATTAAAGATTAATCAATTTTAAGAAGTCCTTTTCATCAAAATTAACAGTGTCAAAAGGGCAATCCTTATAATAGGAGAGAACATTTTATTACACATGCTTTATCAAATAATATACATGTGTATCTGACAGAGGACTCATGCAAAATGTGAAAATAATTCTTACAAATCAATACATAATTGATATGAAAATCAATGTAAAAGTGGAGAAAAGACATGAACACTTTTCAAAAGAAAATATGTAAATGACCATTGCACATATGAAAAGCTTCTCAATGAATTCATGATTAGGATAATGAAACTCGAAACGACAATGATACCCACACCATAGAGAATGGCTAAGTCTCGACAAGGATAGTGAACAATCATGACTATTATGTCTTTCTCATTGGAGTGCACGTTGCTATAACTACTCTGTAAACTCATTTGGAAGTATTTACTAATGCTGAACATGTGTATATTATGACATAGCAATTCCAGTCTAAGAAATATACCCAAATGGAAATACATGTTTATGTTAATTGAAACATGCAATAGAATGTTCATATCATCACTATTCATAAAACCTCTAGAATAATGAATAACTAATTTGTGGTGTATATATATATATATATATAAAATGTTCAATTGTGCACAGAAATGAGAATGAGCAATGTAGAACTACTCGTCACAATATATTGAATGAAAGAACCCAGGAATGGAAACATAACATGCATAGGATTTTATTCATATAATGTAACAAAAATAGCTGTACGTTATGTTGTTAGAAGTCAGAATACTAGCTGTTCATTCTTTGAGTGTGTTGGGGGAAGTTCATGGAGGAAAAGAGAATGAAGGATTCTTATGGGGTCCTGACAATGTTTTATTTTGTTGTTATTGTTGTTTCTGTTTAATCTGGATTCTGGTTACTTAGGTTAAGTTTGTAAAACTTGAGTTAGAAATTAAGTTTGTAAAAATTTATTTATGATTTGTACATTTGCTTATGTGCTTATATGTATTTTCTACTTCAATAATAAATCTAAAACACCACAAAGTACAGAAAAAACAGCTACACACTTATTACTTTCTCATGTAAATTTTTGAAATAATGCAATCGGCAGTGTTTAAGCACTTTATTGTATCCTTAGCTACAAAGCCATAAAAATCCACTATATTGGGAAAGAGATATTAAGAGTTACAAGAAAAAAAGTTATGTCCTACAGATAGAAGTTTTGATTCCAGATCTCTGTGTTGCAGTAGAGAAAATATAACCAAGAATAGTGGTGGAAAGGTAACTAACATAACTCTACTTGTTTGGAAATATAAGCATATTCTATTATTAGCAGATATCCCATTGGCTTTGTTTGAAGCTTCCAAATGCTTTAGCCATAATTAACAAATTGTGTTCCATCTCCTCAGGGAGAGTCTCAAAGGAGGAAAGAAACCCATAAATTTTTCTTACTGGGTTACTTTAGGGACACATGGAAAGCACAGAAAGATTCCTTATTAGAGTTTAGTAGACTACACCTGTTTCTGTGACTACACCTCAGAGTTCCAGTTACTCTTCATGGTCCTGTATTCCTTTATCTTTAATTTCTAACAACTGATCTAGGTGATTTAGCCACAGCCTTAACAATCTGCTTCTAAGTGAAGTTTCTGAGCTAGTGCAATGTTGCAGCCATCTTCAGTATAATCTTTGGTGAAAGCTAGATAATGACTTCTCTGTAGTTAGCTGATATTTCTTTGAATAGTAAAAACAAAAAGCAAGAACTCAAGTTCTGAAAAAGAAGTTAGTGTTGTTAGCAAGCTCCCACTTTGGTTCCTAAGATTTTTATGATGATTTCCAACCAAGATGTCAAATATGATCTTGTGATTTGTAGTTAATTGGATTTGTTTCAGAACTTTAACCTCAAGTAACAGATTTGCATGATGATTTCCAGTTACCTCTTAATTAAAGAAATTATGTCAGTATTTTTATGATTTTTGCATTTTCTCTTTCAGAGGCATCATGCATTGTTCATGTGTTTCCCAAATTTACCAGTATTATTGAAGGAGTCAATGTCATTTGCAAAACATTACTTTTAGTTGGAGATAAGACCGAAGCAAAATACTAAAGCATCTATTTTACTACGTAGTGCCTCCATCACATTATAATATCCGATTTGCAAGAGAACAGATCATCCCCTGTACCTATAAGGGTTAGAAGAGTCTTTGAAATGCCATAAAATTGTCCCTTGCATGATCAAATGCACATCTAGTGGAGATAAGAACTAAAATTAAAACCTGCACAAATACAGGTACAAGCAAAGAATAGTCCTTTAAAAATTACAAAGCAGCAATATATATTTTCCTTAAAATTAAGGTGTCTTTTCCATTCCTTATTTATTTATTGGCTATTTCTAAAACTATTTTTTCCCACTCAAAATTCACTTTGATGTTTAAACAAATGTATACAAATGCATATTTTCTTGGTCTGTCATTGCGTAATACATTTATTGTTAACTATTTTAGTGTTGAAGGTCGTTATTTGTGGAGTGGGGACAGTGGCAGGGCCAGGGAATGAGCTAGCTTCTCTAATCTCTATACCTGGTCTAGTTTCATAGTGAAGGTCCAAGGCTAAGATATGTCCAAGTGTGATTTTTTATATGTTTAGAGAGTCTAACAAAATGAAATTTTCTTGAAAAAAAATGTTTAAATGTCCAGAACTAGGTCATTTTCAATAGTCACATAAACTCATGAAAATGTAAATAAAATCAAGTAAAACGAGTTTAGTGCTTTACAGGGAACTCTAAAGATAAGTTAAAGAAATAGCTCATATGTTTTCTCATACATAGGGAAACTAGTATTTACTAGCATAGATGTAGAAAAGAACATATTTGCAACCTCTCACTTATGCAGCCAAACATGGGTCATACTACTACTTTTCATATCCATTAGTATATACATAAAAAGCATTGTCTCCAGAAAATTAATTCAGTTTTCCTGAATAAGCCAAGAATGTTAGTCTATAGTGGGTAGGAAATTATATTTAAAAAACCATTGTTTTATAAGTCATCATTAATGTGAAATAATTGTAGATTGCTTATTACTATTGTAAAGTTCCCATAGAAATATATGTTTTTATTTGCAGGGTAAGTGCGATTCAAAGAATGCTGATGCTGCTGTAATTTCACAATGGCCAAGCAATTTTCTTTTATTAAATGAAAAACATGAATTCGCTGTTCAAAAATGCGTTACTCAAGGAAGTAGTGAACAGTAGTATGTAGTCACAATAAACATTACTCAATTATCTTTTATAAATTGAAATCCAATTTACATAAAACAGCATGTATCAAAAGTTAGTTATAATTAAATAATAACATGTTTGTTATCAAGATGAGTAACATAAAGGTAAATGAAAGCAAAATAGTCCTAATGTGAAATCATTTTTTATTGGAGTAAAATAAATGTCACATAAATTTACATAATATAAATTCAACATTTAAAAGTTTACAAGTTAGTGCCATTTAATGCATTCAAAATATTGTATAACCATTACCACTATCTAGTTAAAAAATATTTTTGTTACTCTGAAAGGAAACTCTTGTACCCATTAAGCAATTGCTATACCTTCTGCCCTACCTTCTAGCCCTGGAAACAATCTGCTTTTTACCTATGTGGATGAGCTTTAATATTCTGGAAATTTTATGTAAATTTAATTATACAATACTCCTGACAGTTTTTATTTATCATAATGGTTTCAAGGCTTATCTATATTTAGAATGTATCAATACTTCATTCTTTTTATGACTGATTAATACTCCATTGAATGGATATACTACAATTGTTTATTTATCAGTAGACGGACAGTTGGGTTATTTCAGTCTTTGGCTATTGTGAATGCTGCTGTGAACTTACATATGTTTCATAATGATAATTCTATGTGTAACTTAATGAGTGATTGTCAAACTCTTTTCTTAATAGGTGTGTCATTTTACATTCCCAAAGGCAATGTATGAAAGTACAAATCTCTCCACATTCTTGCCAGTATTTTTAATTTTCCTTTTTATTTATTTTTTATTACAGCCATCCTAGTGGTTACCAAGGAGTATCTCCTTACGGTTTTGATTGTATTTCCTTAATGAGAAATGGTATTGAACATCTTTTCATGTGCTTGGTGGCCATTTGTATATCTTCAGATCTTCAATGAGAAATGTCTGTTCAATTTCTTTGCCCAGTTTCATATATTTTATTATAAATTGACATATTAAAGTTGTATATATACATTGGGTACAAAGTTAGTTTATTATTATTTATGTATCCAATGCTGAATAATTAAATCAAGCTAATTAACATACCCATCACTTCAAATGTTTTTTATTTTGCGTGGTGAGAATATTTGAAATGTAGTGTTTTAGCAATTTTGAAATATGCAATGCAGTATTATCAACAGTCACCATGCTATTCACCAGATCTCAGCAAAACTTACTTCTCCTCTCTAATTGAAACTTTGTACACTTTCACCAATATCTCCCCATTTTTTCCTTCCCCAGGTGGGTAACTGCCATTCTACTCTCCGCTTCTGAGTTCTATTGTTTTAGATTCCATATATAAATACACCAAACAGTTTTTGTCTTCCTTTGTCTAGCTTATTTACTTAGCATAACATCCTCCAGATTCATTCATGTTGTTGGAAATGACAGAATTTCCTTCTTTTTAAAGGTTGCATAGGATCCCATTGTTTATACATACCACATTCTCTTTATCCTTTCACCTGTCGATGGAAACAGTTTGTTTCCATATCTTGGCTATTGTGAATTGTGCTGCAATAAACATGAGATTTCAAATCCTTTGGATATATACCCAGATTTTAAATCCTTTGGCTATATATCCAGAAGTGGGATTGCCAGGTCATATGGTAATTCTATCTCTTCTATATTTATTTTTGAGGAACCTTCCTACAGTTTTTTTATAATGGCTGTACAAATGTACATTTCCACCAACAGTGTGACAGGGTTTTCTTTTCTCCACATCTTTGCCAACACTTATTATCTTTCATCATTTTTACAATAGTCTGACAGGTGTGGACTGATATCTCATTTTTAACTTGCATTTCCATAATGATTAATGATTTAGAACATTCTTTTTTCAAATACCTCCAGATCATTTGTAACTCTTTTTTCTTTTTTTGAGAAATGCCTGTTCAGATCCTTTGCCTACATATATATATAGCTATTGAGTTTGAGTTTCTTATCTATTTTAGATATTAACCCATTATCAGATGCATGGATGCAAATATTCTCTCTTCATCTGTAGCTTGTCTCTTGACTCTGGTAATTGTTTCCTTTCACATACAGAAGCTTTTTATTTTCATGCATTCCCACTTGTATATTTTTGCTTTTATTGCCTGAGCTTCCAGGGTCTTATCCAAGCAATCACTGCACAAAGCAATATCATAGAGATTTCCCCTATGTTTTCTTCTAGGATTCTTATAGTTTCGGGTCTTACAGTTAAGTTTTAATCCATTTTGAGCTGGATTTTGCATATAGTGTGAAACAAGGGTCCAATTTTATTCTTCTGCTTATGAATGTTAAGTTTTCCTAACACACTTTGTTGAAGAGACTGTTTTTTTCCACTGGGTACTCAACTCTAGAATCTCTGTTCCATTGGTTGATTTGGTCTATTTGTTAGTACCATGCTGTTTTCATCACCAAAGCTTTGTAATACAGTTCAGAATTTAGCAGTGTGTTGCTCTCAGCTTTATTCTTTTGCTCAACATTGCCTGAGCTATCCAGGATTTTTTATATGTAGTTCCATATAAATTTTGGGATTTTTTGGTTATTTCTATAAAAAGTGACACTACAATTTTGATAAAAATCATATTAACTCTGTAGATCACTTTGGGTAGTATTAACACTTTAACAATATTGATTCTTCCAGTTCATGAATACAGAATATTTTCCCTTTGTGCATTTTTGAATTGACTTGCTTATCTTTTGTTGTTGAATTGTAAGAATCCATTCTAGATACTATACTCTTACTAGATATATGATTATAATTTTTTAAAGTTATAGAGGTTGTATTTTTTATTCTTTGATAATGCCCTTTGATATACACAATCTTGTTTCTTTTTACAATTTTGATAAAGTCCAATTTATCAATGTTTTCTACTTTTGTTGCTTGTGCTTCTGGTGTCCTAACTAAGAAAACTGTCAGGAACTCAGCTGAGTTTGGAGAAAGAGAACTGTACTGCTAGATGTTGGTGCAGCTAATTAAGGCAATAAGCCATAAATGAAAGAGTTAATCAGTTACTGCAATGACATAAGCAAGATTTTAAGACCTGAGAAAGCACCAACTCCTCCTGTTTCTTTTCTTTCATGGAATTGGCACATTGGTCTAGCATCCAGTGGATCAGTAAAGACATGGAGATTGTCTCACTTCTGAGGGAGTCCCAGAAAAATAGGCACTGGCAGTTTTATGGACATTGAGGTGTGTGTATACAGGGAGGGGAAATTAAAAGAGTGACGATGAGGTCTGGAAAATAATGAATAGCGGAGAAAATTATCCTTAAAATTTCCCCTTCCTCTTCTCATAGAGGGTCTCTCGGCATAGGCACCTGGAGAAAACCTCTGCTCTAAGACAGAGTCATAGGAATAAAGGTGCCAGGTTAGAAATTGAAATACAGTCATGGGTGGCTTAATGATAGTAATATATTCTGAGAAATGTGTCATTATATGATTTGTTTTTTGCAAAATATCATACACTGTACTCACATAAACCCAGGTTGTATAGCCTACAATACACACAGGCTATGTGGTATAGCCTCTTGCTCCTACAAACCTGTACACCATGTAACTGTACTGAATTCTGTAGGCAACTGTAACACAATGGTAATTATTTCTGTATCTCAACGTATCTAAACAGAGAAAAGGTACAGTAATCATATGGTATAAAATATTAAAAATAGTATATCTGTACAGTACACGTACTAAAAAATGGAGCTTGCAGGAGTGGAAGTGGCTCTGGGTGAGTCAGTGAGTGAGAGGTGAGTGAATGTGAGGGCCTAGTACATTACTGTAGAATAGTGCAAACTTTATAAACACTATATACTTAGACCACACTAAATTTATAAAAATTATTTTTATTTCCTTAATAATTACCTTAGCTTACTGTAAGTTTTTAACTTTATAACCTTTTAAATGTTTTAAACTTCTTGACTCTTCTGTAATAACTTAGCTTTAAACACACATTGTATAGCTGTACAAAATTTTTTTAATATCCTGGGTCTATATGCTTTTTTTCCTATTTTTAACCTGTTTGATTTTTTTTTTTTTTTACTTTTCATGCAAAAATGAAGACACACACACACATTAGCCTAGACCCACACAAGGTCAGGATCATCAATATCACTGTCTTCAACCATGTCTTTTCCCACTAGAACATCTGGAGGGGCAATAACATACATGGAGCTGTCATCTTCTGTGATAACAATGCTTTCTTTTGAAATACCTTGTGAAATCTTACTGTTAACTGTAGTCACCCTACTGTGCAATGAACCCCCTGGAAACATACAACCTCACAAAACTGTACTATTTGATTCTGTTCTCATATTATCTTCTGAATTTTTGAACTCCTAAATTTATAATAACCTAATTTGAATAATGCCTACTGAAGATCAATAGTACCTAAAAATTTTTAGGCAGCTCTACTATCAAATTATCTATTTCACACATTGCATGTTTATAAATTGTGCACAAATTAATAAAAATTTGTAATTATTATCTTATGAATTTATATTTAAATCATATAAAAGGGCAAAATAATGAGGAGTTAGGAACTCCCAAAACAGTAACACTAGATTTTATACCACCTGTTTATTCATCTGTTTAGTTACTTTTACTGTTTTTTTTTTTTTTTAATTTCTCTGTATGGCTTCTAGTTGGTGTCTGGTTTGTCCTTTTATTTCATCCTAAAACACTTTTTATATTGTTGATTGCAGGGCATGTTTGCTAGTGACAAACTCCTTCAACTTTTGTTTGTGTCTTTATTTCAGCTTCAATTTTGAAGAATTGTTTTGCCAGATATACAATCGTTAGTAGATTTATTTTTCTCAGCACTCTACCTTCAGGCTTTCATAGTTTCTTATGAACAGTTACCTATTAATATTATTAAGAATACCTTTTACATGATAAGCCACCTCTTTCTTGCTACCATTAAGATTCAAAGTGCTTTCAACACTTTGATTGAAATATGTTGCACTGTCAGTCCCTTTGAATCTATCCTCTGTTGGGTTTATTAAGCTTCTTTGGATGTGTATATTCATATCTTTCATCAAATTTGTGAATTTTTTGTCATGATTTCTCCAAGTGTTCTTTCTTTCTCTTTCCCTTCTTTCCTTCCAGAACTCTCATTATGCTTATGCTGATAAGTCAGTTAAAGTCCTTGTCTAGTAACTCCAGTTTCTGGGCTTCCTCAAGATAGTTTCTATCCATTTTTTTTAATCCTTTTCTGAATAAAACATATTTTCTTGTGTCTTGGCTTACATATTTATTTTTCATTTAAAGTTTAACTTTTTGAGTATTTTAATGAGGTTTCTTCAGAAACCATGTATTATTTCCTCTACAGGGTTTGCCTTGTTGTTGTGGACCGTAGTTTTGATTTTTTTTTCTAAATTGTTTTTAGAAATTATTTTTTCCTAAATTTACTTTTCTAATTTTTTTCTTAAAGAAAATTCTTTGTTATGCATGTTTAGTAAAGAATATTCTGTCAATTTGCCTGCCAGTGATTTTTCAGAGGTATCACTAAATTTCTAGAGCAAAAATTTTTAAAAAGAGAAAGAAAATAAATTTCTCATATTTTTTAACACTGACTCTGTTTGGGATAGTCCTTAAACTCTTAGCCAACCATTTAAAAACTTGCCTTAGCCTTCACTTCCTGCTTTTGAAGTTGAAACATGAGTGGAGCCTAAAGTTCAGCCAGAGTTGAAATCTTAGGGTCTTATCAGATTTTTTTCTGAGCAATTTTGTAGACCTAGACGTGTTTAGCTCTCAAAATTCTCTGAAGCTTTTCAAAGCTTTTATTCACCCATTTATCTCCTTGCTTAGCCTCTTGTTTTTTGGGCTTTTTGATCTATATGCTGTTTGACTTGTCTGTTATTTCCTTTCCCCATGCAACTGCAGTTAGGATATTTGCCTTTAAATAGTTTCAACAAAGTCCTATCAGGAGACTATTCCAGCTCCAATCTCTGAGTGGATCCTTCATGGAACCACTGGATGGGTTAAAACACAACTACAATTCCTGCAGAGCAAGGCTTATTTTGCTCCCTTGGTCACCAGGCAGCCACACCATGATGTGGGTCACCATCTTCATGGCTGCCACGGTGCTGAGGAATGGGCTTGGTAGGCAGATGAGTTGAAACATGACAACAATATCAACCAAAATCTAGATTTTAATAATCTTAAAAATGTAGATTCCGATAGTTTTGTTATCTTAATTTTGTTGCTTTAATAGAGATATACAGTTTTAGAGTTTCCTACTCTACCAAAAAGTGATGTCTATCTATGATAGGTATTATATAAATAATAATATCTATGTCATACAACATTGTCAACTCAAATGTATTGATTACAAGGAGTGATATATATATATATATATATAATTGAAGAAATAAAAATAAGTGTATTTTTTACATAATAATTACAATAAATGGATTCTACAAATTTTCTAAGTGGTCTACATTTAACTTAATCTGAATAATGAATATCTGTTGCCTGGGCCATTCAGGTAAAACAAATAAAAAATGTGATCTCTCCCTCTCTTTCTCTCTCTTATTCTGTTTTTCTCTTTTTCTCTCTCTTATCCTTTCTTTCCTTCTCTCTCTCTCTTTCTGGGTCTATGCATCCACATAGGATTTCTTCAGTAGGTTTTCATAATGTTAATCATATTAATAATGTTAATGTCTCTCTTAATGACTTTAATTTCTCTTTAATATCAAGCCTTTATTTCTTTAAATATCTTGACATTATTTCCACTGTCATTGCCATGTTTCTCTATTGCTTGTGTTACCCACAAGCAGGAAGTAATATCTAAAGTATTGTTTATATTCAGGATAAAAACCTTTGTTACAAATACTTAAGATTCTGTGCAACCCATAGTTTGTCTTATCAAGTTGGTTCATTATTACTGATGCTAAGTTAAATCTTGGGTTGTGATTCTGGTAGTTAGAATGTTTTAAAGTTATGGCATTTGTTTTGCAGCTAACAAGTATGTGAGACAAATTGTTGGCATGGTATGAATACCACTTTCTGAACAAATTTCCCCCCATTGAAAGTAAACATATTTGGTGGTGTTTACACTGTTTTTTTCAGTTACTTTTTTGATCTTAGCTTATATCCCATTATTTTAATGCACTGTGTTAAAATATTCTTAAGGGACAATTAAATAATTGTATACTGTGTGTGATGATATTATCAATTTACAGAAAAGAAAGTTTCATTTGCTCAACCTTCAAGATTTATGGAAAAATACTAAAGTTGGAGATACGAAATTATGTTTTTATATATATACATATAAAATAATTATGTACATATAATTTTCTCCATATTTATGTTTATGTATATGTATGTTTATACACATATATACATATATACACATATATATACTTCTGTATATATATACACACACATATACACTTGTATATATACACATGTATATATACATATACATATTTTTGTCATATTTCTTAGAAGTTAATAATTATTTTTATATTTATTCCCAATATAGGTTCCCTGAATTACTTGAATGGACAAACACAATCTGACAGTAGTGAATGAATTC